>NC_000014.9:74005652-74157167 GCF_000001405.40 Homo sapiens
CAAAAATTAGCTGGGTGTGTGGTGCACGCCTGTAATCCCAGCTACTTGGGAGGCTGAGGTAGGAGGATCGCTAGAACCCAGGAGGCAGAGGTTGCGGTAAGCTGAGATCATGCCACTGCACTCCAGCCTGGGAGACAGAGCAGGACTCCATTTCAAAAAAATAAATAAAAAACAAAACAAATAAACAAACAAAATGAACAACAATGCTGACTTGACTTTTAACTTCCATCTTCTGTTATAGTCCTAATATTTTACTTAAGGAAAAGAATTAAAGTCAGAAAAACTACAACTCACACAATGTACTTCTTGTTTCTAAAGGTGAAAAGAAATTTAAATACCTTTTTGTTTTTTTTGAGATGGAGTTTTACTCTTGTTCCCCAGGCTGGAGTGCAATGGCATGATCTTGGCTCACCACAACCTCTGCCTCCCAGGTTCAAGAGATTCTCCTGCCTCAGCCTCCAAAGTAGCTGGGATTACAGGCATACACCACCAAGCCCAGCAAATTTTGTATTTTTAGTAGAGACAAAGCGGGGTTTCTCCATGTTAGTCAGGCTGGTGATCATCTCAGGTGATCCACCTACCTTGGACTCCCAAAGTGCTGGGATTACAGGCATTAGCCACCTCGCCAAGCCTTTTTTTTTTTTTTTTTGAGACGGAGTCTCGCTCTGCTGCCCAGGCAGGAGTGCAGTGGCACAATCTCGGCTCACTGCAAGCTCCGCTTCCCGGGTTCACACCATTCTCCTGCCTCAGCCTCCCGAGTAGCTGGGACTACAGGTGCCCGCCGCCACGCCCGGCTAATTTTTTGTATTTTTAGCAGAGACGGGGTTTCACTGTGTTAGCCAGGATGGTCTCGATCTCCTGACCTCGTGATCCGCCCGCCTCGGCCTCCCAAAGTGCTGATATTACAGGTGTGAGCCACCACACCCGGCCCTTTTTTTTTTTTTTTTAAATGAGAAGATGTCTTGCTTTATCACCTAGGCTCAAGTGCAGTGGTGCAGACACAGCTCACTGCAACCTTCACCTCCTGAGCTCAAATGATCCTCTTGCCTTAGCCTCCTGACTAGCTAGACTACAGGAATGAGCCACCATGCCCAGTGAATTTTCAAATTTTTTATAGAGATGGAGTCTTGCTATGTTGCCCAGGCTGGTCTCAAACCCCTGGCTTCATGAGATCCTCCCACCTCAGTCTCCCAAAGCATTAGGATTACAGGCCTGAGCTACCCCACCTATTATTCAACTAAAAGTCAGATATAGTTAAGAAAGAGTAGGAAGAAAATAAATGAGTCACTGTATTTGTTTTGAAGATACATATCAGTTAAGAATTAAATAATAAATCTGAAATTAAACACTAAATCAACAAAGATACAGAATGAAAGAAAATACTTGTATTGGCAGAATAGAAACTTTATGCTACATACAGAAAAAAACTTCCAATCATATCAGGTAGCATTAACAATTAGGTACTAGCTGGGCATGGTGGCACACACCTGTAGTCCCAGCTACTCAGGAGGATCACTTGAGCCTAGAAGTTCAAGGCCAGCCAAGCTAACATAGCAAGATCCTGTCTCTTAGAAAAAAATTAGGTATGGCCGGGCGCGGTGGCTCACGCCTGTAATCCCAGCACTTTGGGAGGTCAAGGAGGGCGGATCACGAGGTCAGGAAATCAAGACCATCCTGGCTAACACGGTGAAACCCCGTCTCTACTAAAAATATAAAAAATTAGCTGGGCATGCTGGCGCATGCCTGTAGTCTCAGCTACTCAGGAGGCCGTGGCAGAAGAAATTGCTTGAACCCAAGAGGCAGAGGTTGCAGTGAGCTGAGATCACGCCACTGCACTCCAGTCTAGGTGACAGAGCAAGACTCCACCTTGGAAAAAAAAAAATTAGGTACTGAAGAGGTATTTGGTGAAAAGGGACAAGACTGACAACTGGAACAGATTTGAAAACCATAGAAAAATTTTATAGCAATATTTTTCAAGTCAATAAAACTAATAAAAAGGTTTATTTAAAAGTCAGCTTTTGAGCTGAGCATGGTGACACATACCTGTAGTCTCAGCTACTCGGGAGGGTGAGGCAGGAGGATCGCTTGAGCCCAGGAGTTTGAAGCTGCCGTGAGCTGTGATTGCACCACTGTACTCCAGCCTCGGTGACAGAGTGAGACCTTGTGTTGAAAAAAAAAAATTTTTTTTTTTTTTTTGAGATGGAGTCTCACTCTGTCACTGAGGCTGGAGTGCACTGGTGTGATCTTGGCTCACTGCAACCTGCACCTCCCAGGTTCAAGTGATTATCCTGCCTCAGCCTCTCCAGAAGCTGGGATTATAGGCACCCGCCACCATGCTCAGCTAATTTTTTTGTATTTTTTAGTAAAGATGGGGTTTCACTATGTTGGCCACACTGGTTTTGAACTCCTGACCTCAAGTGATGCGTCCACCTTAGCCTTCCAAAGTGCTGGGATTACAAGCATAAGCCACCACCCCCAGACAAAGAAAAAAAAAATTTTTTAACTCAGCTTTTCTTAGATCATTGTCAAAGACTTACATATAATAAGACCAGTGAGCATGGAACCTCCTGGGGGAGGGATTGAACAGAATTAAGTTCCAACAATATGAGCTGTCTCAAACTGGTAGGGAGGGAAGGGTCTTTGCTCCAAATCTGATCATGTTTCCAGAACAGATTCACTGATCAGACGGCTTGTCAAATGATATAGCCTTTTATTTTTTATTATTTATTTTTTCTTTTTTCTTTTTTTTTTTTTGAGACGGAGTCTCGCTCTGTCGCCCAGGCTGGAGTGCAGTGGCACGATCTTGGCTCACTGCAACCTCCGCCTCCCGCAGGTTCACGCCACCATTCTCCTGCCTCAGCCTCCCAAGTAGCTAGGACGATGGGTGCCTGCCACCATGCCCGGCTAACTTTTTGTGTATTTTTAGTAGAGACGGGGTTTCACAGTGTTAGCCAGGAGGGTCTCGATCTCCTGACCTCATGATCCACCCGCCTCGGCCTCCCAAAGTGCTGGGATTACAGGCATGAGCCACTGCGCCTGGCCTAGACTTTTATTTTTTCTTTCTTAAGACAGGGTCTTCTTGTGCCCAGACTGGTCTCAAACTCCTGAGTTCTAGTGATCCTCCTGCCTCAGCCTTCTGAGTAGCTGGAATTATAGGCTTATACCACCATGCCTGGCTGGATATATCCTTTAAGGTCTAACCCTAAATTCAAATACTGTAACTGCCAATAAAGAAATGAGAATTGATGTCACTGGTAGTTATCAACAAATACATCAGTCTTTCCTGTAAACAGGTCATTTTTTATGTGTATTATTTCATTTGCATCAAAATATCATTAGACACGTGTCAAAAAGGCCCATTCTGTACAATGAACTCATTTGGGTGTAATAACAAAATGAGTCAGGCATAACTTCATTCTCCATTGTTTCAGGCTTGACTTTGCTACAATAATCACTTGGAGGAAAGCTGTTGCTATTGTTGCCTCTTTTTCTTCACAAACCAGAAGGTCTTTTCTTGCCCATTCATTAAGAATCAAAGTCCTTTAGATAAGAAGATACTGTCATTCAGGAGGGGGTTCATATTGCCCCAATGAAAAATCAGAATGAAAATCTGAGGTGATAAGCTCTGTCTGCCTCCAAACCCATATCCATTGTGGGAGGCACTATTTACAGAAGAGTAACTGCCACTAGGATCAGTGCCACTGGGCACCGTTTATATTGGATTTTAACTGTGGGAAGAGAATAAAAACATTTTCCCTTTCTTGTTATCAACTGAAAAATAGCTACTGCTTCAAACATGTTAAATCAAAATGAAAAACATGCCAAAGATAAAAATATTACAATGATAGTTTCATGTATAAAGGAAGGAATAGGGGTTCCCCATAATTACATTTTCCCAAATTTGTCTTTCCCCCACCAAATGTGGCTTTAAAATGCTTTCCTTCTAAATACCAAAAAAACTTGGGGTTTTTAAAAAAATTTAATTTTATTGACAAGGTCTTGCTCTGTCACCCAGGCTGCAGTGGAGCAATCACAGCTCACTGCGGCCTTAAACTCCTGCAATCCTCCTGCCTCAACCTCCCAGAGGGCTGGGACTTCAGGCATGAACCACTGCACCCAGATAATTTTTGCATGTTTTCGATTTTTTTTTTTTGAGACGGAGTCTCGCTCTGTCGCTCAGGCTGGATGGAGTGCAGTGGCATGATCTCGGCTCATTGCAAGCTCCACCTCCTGGGTTCAAGCCATTCTCCTGCCACAGCCTCCTGAGTAGCAGGGACTACAGGTGCCCGCCACCACGCCCAGCTAATTTTTTGTATTTTTAGGGAGACAGGGTTTCACCGTGTTAGCCAGGATGGTCTCGATCTCCTGATCTCGTGATCCGCCTGCCTCGGCCTCTCAAAGTGCTGGGATTACAGGCGTAAGCCACCGCACCCAGCCGTGTTTTCAATTTTTTTATAGAGAAAGGAGTCTCGCTATGTTGCCCAGGACAGTCTCAAACTCCTGGCCTCAAATGATCCACCAGCCTCAGCCTCCCAAGTCCCAAACCTCTCAAGGGATTACAAGTGTGAGCCACTGCACCTGGCTCCACTATAACACTTAGTGTTTGGTAAAAGTGTTTTCGGCCAGGCGCAGTGGCTCACGCCTGTAATCCCAGCACTTTGGGAGGCCAAGGTGGGCAGATCACCTGAGGTCGGGAGTTTGAGACCAGCCTGACCAACATGGAGAAACCCTGTCTCTACTAAAAATACAAAATTAGTCAGGCATGGTGCCCCATGCTTGTAATCCCAACTACTCGGGAGGCTGAGGCAGGAGAATCGCTTGAACCCAGGAGGCAGAGGTTGCAGTAAGCCGTGATCAAGCCATTGCACTCCAGCCTGGGCAACAAGAGCGAAACTCTATCTCAAAAAAAAAAAATAAAAAGTGTTTCCATTGTGAATTATATAATTTCCTACAGGGAAAACCACTTTTATTTATAGTTCAAAGTCATGATTATGATTATCAGTTATATTTTCCTGTAAACCTGAGATGCCTCCAAGGGCTACAGTAGGTCTACAGGACTGTTTGCCCTTCTGTCACCAAATGGTCCCAGATTGCTATCCTTTTTGAGCTAGTTTTTTCTGACATCATGCTATATATTTTCACTGATCAGTACTGTCATGTGCCCAGCTCCTTCAATAAACCACCATTACCTCCTAATTTTCTTTTTAAATCTGTTGTAGGATGTAAATCAGGAAGCCATAATTATTAGAATTTCATGTCAACATAAGCAAATGAAGACCTCTCCAACAGAATAAGGGTACTGCACTTTGTGACAGCTCTTTCAGTGCCTTATGGACCCTTTTCCATCTACTGTGAGCTCTCAGCTAGGAACAACAAAGCAGAATTTGCAGAAATCTGACCTATGAAAAAGTGAAGTATTACTTATATATGTTACTTACCAATTTTTTCTTTCCTTCTGAATTTTCTCCTTGGTTCCTTTATTATATCACTTTTTCAACCTGTGTAAGATGGACATGAATAATTATAAGAACAGTTTCCTCTTTTTCTCTGCTGTCAGTATGCCTACTTTTGACTCAGTTATCTCTTCCACATTTTCATTTCTAATCTTTTCAGGCTTTGGAACCCAGATCACCAAGCTCATCTCCTGAGTTGTAGTCTAATGCCCTTCAGCTCTTTCTGCTCCCCTACACTTTCTTCTCACTCAAACTACAACCTCAGCCACTTTACCACACATCCAGCTCATTTAAAAAGTCACCAACAGCAAGAGAAGCAAGTCACACTCCCTCTAGAAGCTGGTGTATATGTGTGTGTAAAGGTGGAGAAGGCAATGACCAAGGAGCTAATTCATAAGTAAAGTACACAGACTGGGCGCAGCAACTCACGCCTATAATCCTAGCATTTTGGGAAGTCAAGGCAGGCAGACAGCTTGAGCTCAGGAGTTTGTGACCAACCTGGGCAATGTGGCGAAACTCCATCTCTACAAAATATAAAAAAAATTAGCCAGGTGTGGTGGCATGTGCCTGTAGTCCCAGCTACTTGGGAGGCTGAGACAGGAGGATTGCTTGAATATGGGAAGTCGAGGTTGCAGTGAGCCGAGATGTGAGGTCTTTTTTTGCTGTTAAAATGTCAGCCATATGTTCCACAGTATGATCAATGAGTGGCTACTTACTATTACATGCACGAGTATGTGGTTAAAAGGGACCAAGCAGATGGGGGCTTGGTGGCTCATGCCTATACTCCCAGCACTTTGGGAGGCTGAGGTGAAAGAATCACTTAAGAATTTGAGTTTATATATTATTTTCTATTCCCTCAGGAACAAAAAAGTTAAACTTACCTATGCAACATAAATCTGAAGATTACACATTCAAGACAGGATTTGAATTATGGATTTGACTCACGCAACCCATGTTATAAATTCTAACTATAAGGTCTCCAAAGTAAACATGTATTTTATTTATTTTTATTTTTTTGAGATGGAGTCTCACTCTGTCATCCAGGCTGGAGTGCAATGGCATGATCTCGGCTCACTGCAACCTCCGCCTCCTGGGTTCAAGCAATTCTCCCACCTCAGCCTCCCAAGTAGCTGGGATTACACGTGCCCACCACCATCCCCGGCTAATTTTTTATTTTTAGTAGAGAGGGGGGGGTTTCATTATGTTGGCCAGGCTGGTCTTGAACTCCTGACCTCAAGTGATCCACCAGACTTCGCCTCCTAAAGTGCTGGGATTATAGGCATGAGCCACCGGTCCCAGCTGGGACTCATTCATCTTTGAACACTGATTACTTAACAGAGTACAATCTGGCATATATGTTTAATTAATGTTTGTTAAATAAATTAACAAATACATAAATCTCATCACTCTGCTTCTCAAAATTTTCATTAATGTCCCACTGTCCACAACAGAAGTTACAAACTCAAACACCTACAGGCACCAGGCAGGAAATATAAATGAGTAAAGGTGTGTGTAAGACAAAAGGAACCGGTGGGGATTGCAGTAAACTGGAGAGCATGTGTCCCATCTAAAGGGGCAGCTTCTTGCTATTCCCACCAACTGCTACCATAATGGAATGTAGGCTCCATACTGCCAGGTCTTCTGATTTTTCAAGGTAAGCTGAAAGCACAGATTTCTTTGTAAAATCTGCTGATTTTTAAATGATGACAACTAATTCCATTTAAAAACCCCCAAAAACCTACCATTCAGGCCAAACGAAACACATTCTATGAGCCAAGTCCAGCCCTCAAGTCACAAGCTGGGGCCTCTAGTCTGCAGGATAAAAGACAAACTCCCTGTCTGACATTCTAAGTCATTCACAATGAGTTCCCAGCCTACCTTTTTAGAGTGTTTTGCCTACTTGTTCCATACAATAACCCTCTGCTCTAGTCTAGTGGTTCTGAAACTTTAGCACGCATCAGAACCACCTGGAGGGCATAGACTGCTGGGCCTCATTGCCAGTATTTCTGAATCAGTAGGTCTCAGGTGGGGCCTGTGAAACTGTAGTTCTAATAAGTTACCAGGTGAAGCTGATGTTACCGGTCTGTGGACCACACTTTAGGAACCAATGCTAGAGTTAAACTACTCCCTATTTTAAGCATACTCTGAATTGTGCTCACATTGTTCTAACTTCCCAGAGGAACTTCCCTCTCCTTTCAGTCCATCTCCTTCTATAAACTTTCCCTGACTACGACAGTCTTAAATGCCTCCAAATTCTATAGCACCTAGGGTTTGGGCCAAGCTTAGTCAAAACCCACAGCCCATGGGCCGCATGTAGCCCAGGATGGTTTTGAATGCAGCCCAACACAAATTTGTAAACTTTCTTAAAATATTATGAGATCTTTTTTTGTGATTTTTTTTTAAGCTCATCAGCCATCATTAGTGTTAGTATATTTTATGTGTGACCCAAGACAATTCTTCTTCTTCCAATGTAGCCCAAGGAAGCCAAAAGATTGAACACCCCTGGTCTACACCATCTCTCCTTTATCAATCCCTGCTTGGTACTGTTTACTGTTAAGTGTTTGTGTATGGGTGACAATAAGGTTGTATATTCTCAGAGATCAACATCCAGGTCAGAGCTTTATACATCTGACTGTAAACAATTTGAGGGCAAGGGCCTTCTCTTGTTCCTTACTGTACCCATGAAGTTATCAGACAGGCTGTTATACAGTTGGTATTCATTAAATGTTTCTTAAATGAATGAACATTTGACAGATCCATGACATAAAAATGCAGACAAGTGGGCCTAAAACTTAGGTAATTTTTCATTGCTTTTTTTAAAAAATAGAGACAGGGTCTTGTTATGTTGTCCAGGCCGGTCTCAAAATCCTAGGCTCAAGCAATCCTCCTACCTCGGCCTCCCAAAATGCTAGGATTATAGATGTGAGTCACTGTGCCCAGTCCAGGTAAGTTTTCTTAGAGAACTTTTAGTCTGTGGCTCTGTTGGGATGGACAACTAATAAAAATGGGATATTTTGCAAATAAAGGAACAGTAGTTAATGATTATTTGTAGGCATAGTGGTGCACGCCTGTAGTCCCAACTACTTGGGAAGCTGAAGTAGGAGGATCTCTTGAGCTCAGGAGCTTAAGTTCAGCCTGGACAACATAACAAAACCCCATTTCAAAAATATATGGCCAAGCATAGTGGCTCACAACTATAATTCCAGCACTTTGGGGGCCTGAGGTAGGAGAACCATTTGAGCCCAGTAGCAACAGAGTGAGATCCAGTCTTTACTCCCCCCCCCCACAAAAAAAAGTTAGCTGGGCATGGTGGCACAAGCCTGTGCTCCTAGCTACTCAGGAGACTGACATGGGAGAATTGCTTGACCCCAGAAGGTTAAGGCTGCAGTGAGTCATGATTGCACCACTGCACTCCAGCCTGGGTGACATAGTGAGACCCTGTCATTCATTAACAAATAAATAAACAAATAATTATCTGTGGTAACATATCTTGTATATAAGTAAAACATTGAATGTTTTAAATTTTTAAAAATTTATCTAAAAGTGATAAGATTAAATCCTTGACCGCCAGGATTTCTTAAAATGCCCCTGCAGAGATGTGAACTAGTCTTAATATCACGAGAAAATGTCAATTTAGTAGAATTCTATATTTGCAGCACATGCAATAAAAAAGCAGGATGAAAGTAACTCCTGGCCAGGTGTGGTGGCTCAAGCCTGTAATCTCAGCACTTTGGGAAGCCGAGGCAGGCAGATCACTTGAAGTGAGGAGTTCAAGACCGGCCTGGCCAACATGGGGGTGAAACCCTGTCTCTACTAAAATACAAAAATTAGCCGGGCATGGTGGCAGGCATCTGTAATCCCAGCTACTCGGGAGGCTGAGGCAGGAGAATTGCTTGAACCTGGGAGGCAGAGTTGAAGTGAGACAAGATTGTGCCACTGCACTCCAGCCTGGGCGACAGAGCAAGACTACCTCTCAAAAAAAAAAAAAAAGAAAGTAACTCCCATAAGAAACAGTTTGGATAATAATATATTTATTCAGGATTCTAAAGGCTATGTAGAAACAAAATCTAAAGTTGTTCACTTAGACTGATCCACCTATAAAGTACCATCTGCTATAAGGTGATCTCAAGAATGATTTATGAAGGGAAACATGGCCTCTAAGGTAAACCCGAATAAAGTTATAGATGAATTTATAAAGTAAACCCAGTTTTGGACCTACTAGAAGAAAAAAGCAGAAGTACTACCCACCCCCCGCCCCCCCTTTTTTTTTTGAGAAACAGTCACACCATTGCTCAGGCTGGAATACAGTGGCACGGCTCACTGCAGCCATGATCTCCCTGGGCTCAGGTGATCCTCTGAACTCAGCCTCCTGAGTAGCTGGAACTACAGGTACATGGCCACCACACCCAGCTAATTTTTGTATTTTTTGTAAAGACAGGGTTTTGCCATGTTGTCCAGACTGGTCTTGAACTCCTGGGCTTAAGCAATCCGTCTGCCTTGGCCTCCCAAAGTGTTAGGATTACAGGCATGAACCACCATGACCAGCCAGAAATTCTATCTATTTTGATACATAATAGTTCTAAATTTTATATATGGCTTGTTGGACAAAATTAACATCACTTGGCAAAAAACAGAGAATTAAATTCAGGAAAAAAAGAAAACCACCATTCAGGAACATTTGAAATACATTTATAAATTTAAGCTAGTGGAGATATTACCTTACATCTGGATACAAGTCCTACCTAACAGCACCATAATGATCTTGTCTGTATGAGGATTCAGCCAAGACACTCCACATTTCTTTGTTGACCAGGAACAAGGAAAACTGGACAGAAAAAGAATTACAAAACCAAGTCAACAAAACATGAAGTGGCTTATTCCAAGTTTAAAAGCATTAGTGTTCTAAACAATGAAACAAGGAAAATTTATTTAGTAATAATTCCTGGAACTTCATAGTAAAGGCACCTACCAGTAACTGTGGAAGGAAATGCTACCAGATAAACTACTAAATAGCAACTTCCTACTCTACTATCTGTACTATCAGTTGTTGCTCACCAGCAGATGACAGTAACAACATCCAGTTCTTTGGTAGAAAATGAGGGGATTCAGAAGAATGTAGACTCTATATCCACCTCTACCAGAGTATGAAATCTTGGCATTTCCCTGAGCCATATTCATGTCACAACAGCTTTATCTACAAAATCAAACTTAGTCAATAAAAAATATATATAATACAATAAAATAAACTAGGCCAAGTGTGGCGACTCATGCCTGTAATCCCAGCACTTTGGGAGGCCAAGGCAGGAGGATCACCTGAGCTCAGGAGTTCAAGACCAGCCTAGGCAACATGGCAAAACCCTGTCTCTACAAAAAATACAAAATTAGCCAGGCATGGTGGTGCATGCCTACAGTCCCAGCTATGCCAGAGGCTGAGGTGGGAGGATCACTTAAGTCCAGGAGGTCGAAGCTGTAATGAGCCATGATCCTGCCACTGTACTCCAGCATGGTTAAGAGTAAGACCCTATCTCAAAAAAACCATCAAAAAACCCAAAAACCAATAAAAGAAACTATAAAGTACTATAACTAAGGTACTACGCATACATTAATAATCTTGTTATAGTCAAATTTTTATGTTCATACATTAATCTGTAAGCCTATGTTCAAATGAGGAGTCTTGGACTGACTTTCATATTATAAAGTTACCAATTTCTAGAATAAATTCCAAATATACAGCCTGTGACAGAAGATGCCCTACTCTCTTTTCTGCAGCTTATCAACAGTGTGCTTTTTCAGAACCTTACACATACAAAATTAATGGTAACTTTATAGATTTTACATCAGAGATAAACTCTTCAATATATGGCGATTCCGCCTATGGACTCACGGGAGTGTGAAAGTATACCAGAAATACACTCAGAAAAAGCTATGATCGGCCAGGCGTGGTGGCTCACGCCTGTAATCCCAGTACTTTGGTAGGCCGAGGCGGGCGGATCACCTGAGGTTGGAAGTTCGAGACTAGCCTGACCAAAATGGAGAAACCCCGTGTCTACTAAAATTACAAAAGTAGCCGGGCATGGTGGCGCATGCCTGGATTCCCAGCTACTCGGGAGGCTGAGGCAGGAGAATTGCTTGAACCTGGGAGGTGGAGGCTGCGGTGGGCCGAGATCGTGCTATTGCACTCCAGCCTGGGAAACAAGAGCGAAACTCCATCTCAAAAAAAAAGAAAAGAAAAAGCCATGATCATGCTGGCAGATGGTATGTATAATAAGGTTTACGCCAGCCTGACCAACATGGAGAAACCCTGTCTCTACTAAAAATACAAAATTAGCCAGGGATGGTGGTGTGTGCCTGTAATCCCAGCTACTCGGGAGGCTGAGGCAGGAGAATCGCTTGAACTGGGAGGTGGAGGTTGCGGTGAGCCGAGATCGTGCCATTGCACTCCAGCCTGGGCAACAAGAGCAAAACTCTGTCTCAAAAAAAAAAAAAAAAAATTTTACAGCCGGGGGCGGTGGCTCATGCCTGTAAATCTCAACACTTTGGGAGACCAAGGCGGGTGGATCACCTGAGGCCAGGAGTTCAAGACCAGCCTGGCTAGCATGGTGAAACTCTGTCTCTACCAAAAATACAAAAATTAGCCTGGCATGGTGGCACGCACCTATAGTCTGTTACTGGGGAGGCTGAGGCAGGAGAATTGCTTGAACCCGGGAGGCAGAGGTTGTGGTGAGCCGAGATTGCGCCATTGCACTCCAGCCTAGGCAACAAGAGCAAAACTCTTGTCTCAAAAAAAAGGTTTACAGCCGGGGCGGTGGCCCACGCCTGTAATCTCAACACTTTGGGAGGCCGAGGCAGGTGGATCACCTGAGGCCAGGAGTTCGAGACCAGCCTGGCCAGCATGGTGAAACTCCATCTCTACCAAAAATACAAAAATTAGCCGGGTGTGGTGGCATGCACCTGTAGTCCCACTTACTGGGGAGGCTGAGGCAGGAGAATCGCTTGAACCAAGGAGGTGGAGGTTGCAGGGAGCCGAGATGCCCCACTGCACTCCAGCCTGGGTGACAGAAGACTCTCTCTCAGAAAAAAAAAAAAAAAAGTTTACAAGGCTTATCATTACCAAATCGGCATGTTCCCTCAGAAGAAACAGAAATTCAGAAACAGAAACTATGCAAGTGGGAAACAAGGCGGAGGGGAGTAATTAGAGGTCAAAGACATCGGGAAGGAGTGTACGGATTAAGTCCTCCCTAGAGAAATGGTGACGAAGGATCTACAACCACATTTAAAATAAACTTTTTAATTTGAAATGGAGTATAACAGAGCAGAGCTTCAACCACAAGTCTCCTAACTATTGGCTTGGCACTCAGAATACCGTACCTTCCTTAATGACTCACTGACTGACTCTCATTGAAAAATGAGAATACTTGTGAGTACACTCCTTTTCAGAGGTGTATTCGGGATTTCAGGAGTCGGGGAGGCAAGTTGAAGAGCTTCCAACTTTATGCAACTTTCAGGAAAGAAGGCTGCGGACCGGTATTAGCAAATGGAAATCCGGGGGGCGGTCGTGGGCAGGAAGTATCGGCCACACAGGACCTAGTGAGGCCGAGGAC
The DNA here is from genome assembly GCF_000001405.40 of Homo sapiens. Taxonomy (NCBI): domain Eukaryota; kingdom Metazoa; phylum Chordata; class Mammalia; order Primates; family Hominidae; genus Homo; species Homo sapiens. The sequence goes on from NC_000014.9 coordinate 74,018,707, forward strand.
CCTGCTCCCGACCTCGGTGGCAGCACTCCCCTCCCCGCCCGGCTCCCTGGCGTGCCGCTGCTCTTCGGAGGCTGGCAGCCTCGCCCTCAACCACCGCCCTCGGGAAAGTCCTCGACTGCCTATCAAAAAACATTTGGCCTGGGACGTCCGCTGGCTGCACTATCCCTTACAGAATCAGCAAGGGTGAAAAGCCAGGAAAGAGATGCAACCCAAAGGAGTAAGGCAGTGCCGGGAGCGGCAGAAGCGGAGCGGGGGCGAGGGCAAGGTAGCCGCGGCCACGCTGGCTGCGGCATGGAGACACGGGAGGAACGGGACCCGCGGGCGGCACGGGAAAGGGCTGCGGCTCAGACCACTGCGGCGGGACGGGCGGATCAGCGGGGATCTAAGTCTCCTGAGGCAAGGGCGCCCCGACCGCAGCGACTCCTGACACACCCAGGCCGCAGGACGAAGCGCTACCGCCTGGGGCTGCCAGCTCCCGCCTCCCGCCCGCAGAGCCCGGGCCCCACGTAGAGGATCCGGCGCCGCCGACACTCGCACACTCACCGCGCGCGCGCCACCCTTGCGCGGCAGCCCGCCGCCCTCGGCGCGACCTCCGCCCCACCCCGCGCGCCGCGGCGCCTGGGCTACGTCACGGGCGCGTGCGCTCTCCGCGCGCCGTCAGCGGCGCGGGTGGGGCATTGCCAGCTCGGCGTCCCGGTTCCCTTGGAGACAGAGCTGGCCAGGGCGGCCGCGGCTGGGCAACTACGACAGCGGAGCCCCTGGGGAAGCCAAGATGCCGTCGAAGGGAAAGGACAAAAAGAAAGGCAAGAGCAAAGGCAAAGACACGAAGTAAGGAGAAGCCACCCGAGAGTCCCCTCTCCCTGGGCCTGCCTGGGATTTCGGGTCTGGGGCTGGCAACCTGGCGCCCCCCGCGCCGGCCCACTCGGACCCTCTCCCCGGCTCTCCCGGCTTGTGAGGATTACAGCTCCCATGTCCATAGTCTGGCAGATCTCTACTATGTGTTCAGATTATCTTAAACGTGTAGAGGATGTATAAAGTAGTTCCTTGGGCCTTTTCAGAGATCTCTTTTGGTTCAAAGGGGACACCTAAAGTATTTTACCAAGTTGGATAATTATTGAGGTTTTCCCAAACTGATCAGAGCCACTGAGGTGGGTAATGTTCTAGCACTAACCCCTTACAGGCCTGGAGTTGCTGCTAGATTGCTACTAGCCCTATTGGGGGACCCCGGTGGTTTCTGGACACGTTGGAGTCATACGTGGTGTCCAGCAACAACACCATATATGGGAACACAGAGTTGGCACCAAACTTGAGATGTTTGTAAAGTAACTTAAGAGAGTAATTCATGCTCAATACAGAAAGTTTGGGAAACATGGGAAGTACCAAAAGAAAAAACAAAAATCACCTGTAGTCTCATTATCCAAAAATAAACACTACTATATTTTGGAGTATTCTTTTTTAATAAAACGATAGCCCAATGTACATACTTATATGTGGCTTTTTTCTTCCCATTTGTTAATGTAAGTATTCTTTTATGGTATTTTTTTTTTGTTTTTACATAACTGCACAGTTAGTCTAGCCCTTAAAGTGCCAAGGGCTTATCACATTCCTAGAACTCACTAACATATGTTTTCAGATTTTGACCATGCTTCTACAGTACACATTTGAACAATGAGGAACACTAAGGGTAAGAGACCTTATTCCTTGGATTTTCCATGACCCATTGTTTGAGAAACCTGGCTTTGTTTCTACAGTGAGTATCAGTGGTCCTATTAGAGTGTCTAATTTCTTGCATCAAGTACTTTTTTTTTTTTCTTGACACCAAGTTTTGCTCTTGTTGCCCAAGCCGGAGTGCAATGGCACGATCTCAGCTCACTGCAACCTCTGCCTTCTGGGTTCAACCAATTCTCCTGCCTCAGCCTCCCGAGTAGCTGTGATTACAGGCACCCGTCACCACGCCCAGCTAATTTTTTTATTTTTAGTGGAGACAGGGTTTCACCATGTTGGCCAGGCTGGTCTCGAACTCCTGACTTCAGGTGATCCACCCGCCTCGGCCTCCCAAAGTGCTGGGATGACAGCCGTGAGCCACCATGCCCTGTCGCATCAAGTACTTCGAGCCACTCAGACCTGATACCTGGATGGTCGTAGTGAGACAGTGTATCACTAGTGCCTAAATCATGCCAGAAAGGGACATCAACAGCTATAACAGGCTGAGGGGTTGGGAATGGAGCTGGCCTTAATTTGAAGAGAACAAAAGGTGAAAGTGGGACTTTGGTTCTCTCCACTGCAAACCCATTACCTCTGTGGAAGAGGACTGAGAACCAGAGGTAGGAAAGTGGATGTGGAGGGTGGCAGTATAGAAAGGTCCACATGTACATATGTGTGAAAATATTTAGAATTCAAATACAGGTGAAATATTCTTAAATATGTACATATTTATATATCATGGTACCTACCATATATAAGGGGGAGTGTTTTGTTAATGCTTATACAATAAATATTTAGAAAAATCTCTTCCTTTACCACTTTAATCTTTGAATCCATCCTTTTTCCTCTCCACCTCTATATAAATGATTATGGTTTCTCAGGCATCCTTAAAGCCCGGTGGGTGGGGCATCGTGGCTCATGCCCAGCACTTTGGGAGGCTGAGCAGGGGAAGATCACTTGAGCCCAGGAGTTCAAGACCAGCCTGAACAACATAGGAAGACCCTGTCTCTACAAAAATTTTTATTAAAAATTAGTTGGGCATGCTAACTCATGCCTGTAGTCACAGTTACTTAGGAGGCTGAGGTGGAGGATCGTTTGGGCCTGGGAGGTTGAGGCTGCAGTGAGCTGTGATGGTGCTACTGCACTACAGCCTGGATGACAGAGCAAGATCTTGTTTCAAAAAAAAAAAAAAAGTCCGGTGAACTGTGGCACCAGCTGATAAACTATTTAACGTATTTGCCCTAGTGACTTGACTTTTTGTCCAAGACCTAGCCCAAAACAAAACAAAACAAAAACACCATCCTGGCTAACACGGTGAAACCCCGTCTCTACTGAAAATACAAAAAATTAGCCGGGCCTGGTGGCGGGCTCCTGTAGTCCCAGCTACTCGGGAGGCTGAGGCAGGAGAATGGCATGAACCTGGGAGGCGGAGCTTGCAGTGAGCCGAGATCACGCCACTGCTCTTCAGCCTGGGTGAAAGAGTGAGACTCCGTCCCTCCCCCAGAAAAAAAAAAAACACACTCAAAAGTGGAGGGTAAAGTGGGTGGGAGATCACAGTTATACTACCAATGGGTATCATCATGCAGAAACTGAACAGAGATAATGGGTTTGCAGTGGAGAGAACCAAAGTCCAGCACTGAGTGAGTAGGAATAGAAAAGATAGTTTAACTACAGGAGAATCAGGCTAGGGCACTGGTTCACACCTGTAATCTCAGCACGTTGAGAGGCCAAGGTGGGAGGATACTTGAGCCCAGAAGTTGGAGACCAGCATAGGCAACATAGTGGGACCCCATCTCTATTAAAAAAAAAATAAATATGGGAGAATCAAATAAGTAAATGAAAAGGTATAAAAACTGCCCAAGCGCAGTGGCTCACACCTGTAATCTCAGCACTTTCGGAGGCTGAGGTAGGAGGATCACTTGAGCCCAGGAGTTCAAGACCAGCCTGGGCAACATGGCAAAAACTCATTTCTACAAAAAGTACAAAAATTAGCTGGGCATAGTTGCATGAACCTGTAGTCCCAGCCACTTGGGAGGCTGAGGTGGGTGGATGGCTTGAGCCCAAGAGGCAGAGGTTCTGGGGAGCCGAGATCGTGCTACTGCACTCCAGCCCGGTGACACAGCCAGGCCCAGTTTCAAAAAGAAAAAAAAAAGATATGAAAGCTTTCTGAAATGAGTTTGGCTTATCCTGTCTTTTCCCTTTGTTTTACCAGTCTTTTCGAGTTATGCTCCAGGACTCCCCTCCTCCAGGAAGAGGCACTTACTTAATTATCTTATGTGAATACAAGTGAATATGTATTTCTTTTTTTTTCTTTTTTCAAATGTGAATATGTATTTCTTATTAACTTATTCTTCCAACAATATTTGATCATGTGTGCCAGGCAATGCCAAGCAAAACAAATAAAAAAAGAGAAAAATTTAATAGTAATATAATAGAGTTATATACTATCTGCATATTAGAGTTGTATAAATAGTCATATACTGTCAATATCCTCTTCCCATGCAGGAAGTTAATAAAAACAGATGAATCTGTGGTGGACAGAGCCAAGGCCAATGCCTCCCTTTGGGAGGCCAGGTTGGAAGTCACAGAACTCTCTAGGATTAAGTATCGTGATACTTCACGGATACTGGCAAAAAGTAATGAGGACTTAAAGAAAAAGCAATGTAAAATGGAGAAAGACATAATGTCAGTATTAAGTTACCTGAAGAAGCAGGATCAGGAGAAAGATAATATGGTAGGTAGGTAGAAAGCCTCCTTGGCCTCATTAACTACCTCTATGGTGATGCTGATGTGGTTATGTATTTCAAAGATTTTTAATTCCTTGAAATCTTAACATATACTTAAGACATTTCAATTGACCTTAACTCTGTTTGAAGCAAGACACTTTTTCAGAATGGTTTTACTGTTATCGGCTCTCTTTTATTTTCAATCCTTGTTGCATGTTTTCTTGTCTGAAGCAAACAGAGATTGATGATCATAAGGGAACTTTATGATCTACTTTATTTTAAGGATAAGAGCATGGTATGTGATCTATATATTTTTTGATGCTGATTTTTAGTTTTAAAAATTTGTAAAGCAGTTCACTGATAATCCATGATAACTTTCTGAACCCAGCAAGTTGAATCTTTATTTTTATTTTTGGCCAGTTGAATCTTGTATCTTATTGTACCTTATTAAAGTGTTGAGAGTAAAGCTATCATTTTATATTTGGAAGAAAAAAGGAGGCCGGGTGTGGTGGCTCACGCCTGTAATCCCACCACTTTGGGAGGCTGAGGTGGGCAGATTGCCTGAGCCCAGGAGTTCGTGACCAGCCTGGGCAACACAGTGAAACCCCGTCTCTACTAAAATACAAAAAATTAACCGGGCATGGCTGCATGTGCCTATAGTCCCAGCTACTCGGGAGGCTGAGGCAGGAGAATTGCTTGAACCCGGGAGGCAGAGGTTGCAGCGAGCTGAGATCATACCATTACACTCCAGCCTGGCAGCCTGGGCGACAGAGCGAGAGACTCCATCTCAAAAAAAAAAAAAAAAAAGAAAAGAAAAGAAAAAGGGAAGGGAACTAACATTTTGGAGCCACTACAATGTACTATACTGGGTGCTTTACCTCTCTTGATTCTTTTACTAACCTCCTATTTAATTATTTTTATGACCCCATGTAGCTATAATATTGTTATTTCCATATTACAGATGAAGAAATTGACTTTCAGAAAGGACAGGTAACTTGCCCAAAGTCACACCCCTAGTGGGTGTTAAAAGTGGAAATTCAGGCTGGGTGTGGTAGCTCATGCCTATAATCCCAACACTTTGGGAGGAAGAGGCTGGAGGATAACTTAGCTTAGGAGTTCAGGACCAGCCTGGGGAACAAAGCAAGACCCAGTCTCTACACAAAGTAAAAAATAGCCAGGCGTGGCAGTGTGCACCTGTAGTCCCAGCTACTCGGGAGGCTAAGGCGGGAGGATCACTTAAGCCCAGGAAGTTGAAGCTGCAGTGAGCCATGGTCATGTCACGGCAGTCCAACCTGGACATCAGAGCAAAACTCTGTCTCATATTATTATTACTTTATTATTATTTTTGAGACAGGGTCTCTCTCTATTGCCTGGTCTAGAGTGCAGTGGTATGATCACGGCTCACCACAGGATCGACATCCGGGCTCAGATGATCCTCCTGCCTCAGTCTTCCAAGTAGCTGGGACTACAGGCACGCACCTCCATGCCTGGCTAATTTTTTGTATTTTTGGTAGAGACAGGGTTTCGCCATGTTGCCCAGGCTGGTCTTGAACTCCTGAGCTCAAGTGATCCACCCGCGTTGGCCTCCCAAAGTGCTGGGATTGCAAGCATGAGCCACCATGCCTGGCTGATTTTTTTGTAGTTTTTGTGGAGATGGGATTTCGCCATGTCGCCCAGGCTAGCCTCGAACTCCTGGGCTCAAGAAATCCTCCCAACTTAGCCTCCCAAAGTGCTGACATTACAGGCATGAGCAATAGCACCTGGTCCAGAAATTTCTATCTTTATTTTATTTTATTTTTTGTATTTTTAGTAGGGACGGGGTTTTGGCATGTTGTTGGCCAGGCTGATCTGGAACTCCTGGCCTTGAGTGATCCGCCCACCTCACCCTCCCAAAGTGTTGGGATTACATGCATGAGCCACAAAACCTGGCCAATTTTTATTTTTAAAATTACTCTTTTAATAGTAGGTATTATTAAATTGCCCTCTATAAAGTATTGTTCTAAAGTAAGTTTTTTTAGTCAACCATAGAAATAATTTCCAAATGTGTTACTTAGATGCTTTGTTTTGTGGCTTGTAATAGCTCATTGTTATTGGTCTACATCAGTATCACTTGTACTTCCTGATTCTCATCTGCCTCCTTATATCAAAGGGCAGCATCTGGCAGTAACAGGTGGGTAATTTTTATAATCATGGATTGCCATTAAACCAAAAGAAACAACCTTGGGAGGAAGAAACAAAGTAGACTAAATATATCCTCATTAACTAGCTTTCCCATAGTTTTGTTACTCATTTTGCTATATACTAGAAAAATGTTATGTTGTTAAACTTTGTTTAAACTGTTTATAGTCATGTTAATTATAGAAATAATAGAAATGAAATGTGTTTTGAAAACTATTTTATTATGAACAAAATTAGGAGATTCCCCTTAAGAGAATTTAATGCTGTACTGAATTAATCACAGAATAATCTCATTAAATGTCACACCAGTTTTATGTGATTTAGGATTGTCCCAGTTTATTTTTTAGAATATCTAGATTTTTTCCTAAGGTGGTCTAAAACATTGTACATAGTATCTCACTTGTGTCAACAACCATGTCAACAAGTCTTTAGTTTAAAAAGCTACTCAGATTCCCTTCTAAAACAAACCAGCATTCCTTGGAGAAATGGTTGATTTCAGGACTGGAACAGGGAATATAAAACATGAGGCTGGGCTGTTCATGGTGGCCCATGCCTGTAATCCCAGCACTTTGGGAGGCTGAGTGGCGGGGTGGGGGGGGTGCATCACATGAGGCCAGGAGTTTGAGACCATCCTGGCCAACAGAGTGAAACCCCATCTCTACTAGAAATACAAAGAATTAGCTAGGCATGGTGGTGCGTGTCTGCAGTCCCAGCTGCTTGGGAGGTTGAGGCACGAGAATTGCTTGAACCCAGGTGGCAGAGGTTGCAGTGAGCCAAGATTGTGCCACTGCAGTCAAGCCTGGGCAACAGAGTGAGACTCTGTCTCAAAAAAAAAAAAAAGAGAGAGACTGGGGGCGGTGGCTCATGCCTGTAATCCCAGCACTTTGGGAGTCCAAGGCGGGTGGATTACTGAGGTCAGCAGTTTGAGACCAGCCTGGCCAACATGACGAAACCCCATCTCTACTGAAAATACAAAAATTAGCCAGGTGTGGTGGTGGGCACCTGTAATTCCAGCTACTCAGGAGGCTGAGGCAGGAGAATCATTTGAACACAGGAGGCGGAGGTTGCAGTGAGCCAAGATCATGCCATTTTGCACTCCAGCCTGGGCAACAAGAGTGAAACTCCATCTCAAAAAAAAAAAAAAAAAAAAAAAAGAGTCTGGAATATGTTATTGTGCCAGAAAATAAAAAATTTTAAAGGACATGGCCTTGTTTGAAGGGGCTTCCATTGGCCAAATCTGGGACAATCAAAATATTAGGTTGGTGCATTAAAAGAATGGCAAAAACCACAATTGCTTTTGCACCAACCTAATAAATAATAGCAAAAATGGCTGGGTGCAGTGGCTCACACCTGTAATCCCAGAACTTTGGGAGGCCGAGGTGGGCAGATCACCTGAGGTCAGGAGTTCAAGACTAGACTGGCCAACATGGCAGAACCCTGTCTCTACTAAAAATACAAAAATTAGCCGGGTGTGGTAGTGTGCACCTGTAATCCCAGCTACTCAGGAAGCTGAGACAGGAGAATCGCTTGAACCCAGGAGGTGGAGGTTGCAGTGAGCTGAGATTGCGCCACTGCACTCCACCCTCAGGGACAGAGTGAGACTCCATCTCAAAAGGAAAAAAAAAAAATGGCAAAAACTGCAGTTGCTTTTGCACTGACCTAATAAATAACAACAGTAATAGATTATAACCTATTGAATGAAATAAAAATCCACGAGTGTGTACTACTAATAAACACATACATGAATAAATAAGGGAGAAAGGAAGCCTTTTTTTTTTTTTTTTTTTTTTGAGACAGAGTCTCGCTCTGTCACCCAGGCTGGAGTGCAGTGGTGCGATCTTGGCTCACTGCAACCTCAAAGGATCACTGCAAAGGATTCTCCTGCCTCAGCATCCTGAGTAGCTGAGACTACAGTTGTGCCACCACCCCGCCTGGCTAATTTTTGTGTTTGTAGTAAAGACGGGGTTTCACTGTGCTGGCCAGGTTGGTCTCGAACTCCTGACCTCAGGTGATCTACCCGCCTCAGCTTCCCAAAGTGTTGGGATTACAGCCATGAGCCACCTCGCCCAGCTTTTTTTTTTTTTTTTTTTTTTTTTTGCAGAAGAATGCCAATTAATAAATTTCCAAGGAGTGATGGAGTTAGAAAAATCACCATTTGGCATCACAGTAATAACTGAATCAGTCAAGAATCATCAATGGATGCTAAAACCTACTGGGTGAAAGTTTGATGAGGAGGATAATTGCATAGTCTCAAAAGATTGTACCACAAATTACTTAATAATCACAGAAGAAAAAATAATAACTTTTAGGTGGAGAAAGTGGGCAGACACAACCTTAACCAACTGGTTAAAATTAGCATCAATCACCTAATGATGTGATGTACTGAAAAGGATACATCATCACTTAGGTACTATATATAACCTACCAAAAACATACAACCTGAATCTACTCATGAAGAAGCATCAGCTAAGCCCAACCCTGGCCAGTATTCTTTTTAAAAAGTCAATTTAAAAACAAAGACCAAGAAACTGTTCCAGATTAAAGGGGACTAAGACACATGACAGATAAATGCAACGCATGATCAAGGGTTGTATTGTAGACAAGAAAAATAAAAAATTGCAATAAAGGACATTATTGGGATAATTGTAGCAGAATTTAAATATAGAGTATATATTACATAGTAGTATATTAATGTTAGACTTCCTGATCTTTATAATTTTATAGTGCTTGTAAAAGGGAATGCCCTTTTTCTTCAAAAATAGATACTGAAAGGCCAGGCACAGTGGCTCATGCCTGTAATCCCAGCACTTTGGGAGGCTGAGGCTGGTGGATCACCTGAGGTCAGAAGTTCGAGACCAGCCTGGCCAACATGGTGAAACCCTGTCTCTACAAAAAATACAAAAAATTAGCCAAGTGTGGTGGCGCATGCCTATAGTCCCAGGTACTTGGGAGGCAGAGGCAGGAGAATTGCTTTAGCCCAGGAGGCATAGGTTGCTGTGAGCCAAGATTGCACCACTGCAGTCCAGCCTGGGCGACAGAGTGAGACTCTGTCTCAAAAAAAAGAAAGAAAAACAAATAAGGAAATAGATACTGAAGTCTTCTGGGGTAAAAGGTCATCTTGAAATTGACATTACCCTTTACCACTAAAGAAATACACACACACACACACACACACACACACACACACACACACACACAAATAGAGGGAAAGCAAATGCGGCAAAATTAATGTATATGGGTGAATAGTATGGGAATTTTTTGTACTCTTCTTGAAACTCATCTTGGCTAGGCGCTATGGCTCACACCTATAATCCCAGCACTTAGGCCAAGGCAGGGGGATCACTTGAGCCCATGACTTTGAGACCAGCCTGAGCAACATGGCAAGACTCCATCTCTATTTTTTTTTTTTTTTTAGACAGAGTCTTGCTCTGTCACCCGGGCTGGAGTGCAATGACGCCATCTCGGCTCACTGCAACCTCTGCCTCCCAGGTTCAAGTGATTCTCCTGCCTCAGCCTCCTGAGTAGCTGGGATTACAGGCATGTGCCACCACGCCTGGCTAATTTCATAGTTTTAGTAGAGAAGGGGTTTCTCCATGTTGGTCAGGCTGGTATTAATGTTGCTTTTATTTTTAACCACACACACACACACACACAAAAGTTGACCAGGTACTTCTGATGATAGCCAGGTTTTAGAAACTGGCAATAGCAGGTTGAAGGTATGGGAAATTTCCTGTCCCCTCTTCTCTTTCCACCTCACTCACCTCTTTTGCCATATTGGTTTTAGTATTGTGTGAAACTAGTCTACTTAATAAAGGTAGACATAGAGCAGTTTCTTTATCTTCATGACCCTGTATTTTGATTTTCAACAGATTGAAAAACTGAAACAGCAATTAAATGAAACAAAGGAAAAAGCCCAAGAGGAGAAGGATAAATTGGTGAGTTATCTATGTGTACTAATACTCCACTTACTGGATGGTCAGGTTTCTGGCAAGCTCAGGTATTTAAGACCCAATGACAGTGAGTGAGTAAGTTCTCTGGGCAGGCTAATGACCTTAAAGCTTGATTGTATAGAAATTCAAAAAACCAGGCTGGGCATGATGGCTCATGCCTGTAATCCCAACACTTTGGGATGCTGAGGCGGCGGATCACCTGAGGTCAGGAGTTCGAGATCAGCCTGGCCAACATGGTGAAACCTTGTCACTACTAAAAATTTAAAAATTAGCCAGGCATGGTGGTGCATGCTTATAATCCCAGCTACTCGGGAGGCTGAGACAGGAGAATTGCTTGAACCTGGGAGGCAGAAGTTGCAGTGAGCCAAGATCGCACCATTGCACTCCAGCCTGGGTGACAAGAGTGAAACTTCATCTCAAAAAAAAAAAAAAAGTTTAAAAACAACATATTATAAAAATAAGTTATTGTAAAAAACCATATAATATTAAGATTGCTTCCTGATACTGAATTTGTTATTGTTTCTAATGCTTTTCAGTGGATGGAGCTAGGAGATACACGTTTTTAAAATATTAAAATAGATCATGACTCTATACTAATACTTTCAGTTTACATGCAGGAATATAGAATTTTTACTTAACTTTATCTGTATCTCCTTTATCCCTTGCCAAAAGTCCTTATTCTTACTGATACCAATATAATTACCTAGTTGCGTAAACCCCAATATATCAATCTCAGAATGCTAATATTACCACCAAAAATAAATTGCTGAAAACAGTTTAAGATTTTGGGGGGCATTTTTCTCCCTTAGGATATATACCAGTAAGGATCTATGATAAAATTGCAAGGCTTAAGAACCATTTGAAATTCTTTTCTATGAGGTTATGCCACCAACTCAACAACACATTTTGCTTTTGATTTTTAGAGGTTGCTTTTTATTTTTTCATTCTACTGTATTTATTTAATTTTTTTAGATATGGGAGTTTTGCTATATTGCCCAGGCTGGTCTTCAACTTCTGACCTCAAGCAGTTCTCCTTGCCTCAGCCTCCCGAGTAGCTAAGACTACAGGCATACACCACCACACCTGACTTAGAGGTTGCTTTTTATTTATTTATTTTTATTTTTTAATTTAATTTTTTTAGAGGTTGCTTTTTAAAAAATTAGTTTTGCCTATAAAATTAAGTAAAATATTTACATGGTTCTAAAGTCTGTAAAACAAGTTGCACGTCGAGAAATCCAACTTTTTTTTTTAGATGGAGTCTCGCTCTGTCGCCCAGGCTGGAGTGCAGTGGCGCAATCTCTGCTCACTGCAAGCTCCATCTATTGGGTTCACACCATTCTCCTGCCTCAGCCTCTCGAGTAGCTGGGACTACAGGCACCTACCATCATGCCCGGCTAATTTTTTGTATTTTTAGTAGAGACGGGATTTCACTGTGTTAGCCAGGATGGTCTCTCGATCTCCTGACCTCATGATCCGCCCGCCTTGGCCTCCCAAAGTGCTGAGAAATCCAACTCCTATCCATGTCTTTTCCACACTGTCTTCTCCCTCTCCCTGTAGAAAACCATTTTATTTATTTTGTGTTTTATCCTCTCTTTAAAAAAAAAGGTTGCTTAAAAAATTGTTTCCTTATCAGAAAAGCTAAAAAAAAGTCATAAACATATATATATATATATATAGAGAGAGAGAGATTATATATAAGGAGATTTTATATATATAGGTTATATATAAAATCTTTCTTAGATAAAAGGTAGCATGCAATATACATAAACCTGCACCTGCTTTTTTTATTTAACAGTATGCCTTGGTGATCACTCCATAGCAGTATGTAGAGACATTCCCTTTTTCTTTTCTTTTCTTTTTTTTTTTTGAGACAGGGTCTCCCTCTGTTGCCCAAGCTGGAGTGCAGTGGCACAATCATGGCTCACTGTAACCTCAAACTATTGGGTTCAAGGGATCCTCCCACCCAGCCTCCGGAGTAGCTGGAACTGTAGGCGAGTACCACTACACCTGGCAAATTTTTGTATTTTTTGTAGAGATGGGGTCTCCCTGTGTTACCCAGGCTGATCTTGAACTCCTGGCCTTAAGCGATCCTTCCAGCTTGGCCTCCCAAAGTGTTGGAATTATAGGTGTAGGCCACCACGCCTGGCATCATTCCCTTTTATAGCTGTGTGATGATTATTGTGTGGATATATCATAGTTTATTCAAATGGTCCCTGTCTTAGTTCAGGCTATTATGACAGAATACCATAGACTGAGGTGCTCAAACAACAAACATGTATCTCTCATCATTCTGGAGGCTAGAAGGTCAGGGTGCTAGCATGGTTGAGTTCTTGGTGGAGGCCATTCTTCTGGTTCACAGATGGCCGCTTCCTGCTGGATCCTTACTTTTGACAGAGAGAGAAAGCTCTGGTTTTTCCATCTCTTTCTTCACCAATCCCATCATGGAGGCTCCACCCTCATGATCTCATCTAAACCTAACTACCTCCCAAAGGTCACACCTCCAAATACCATCACACTGGGGATTAGGGCTTCAACATAGGATTTTTTGGGTTCACACATACAGCTCATAGCAGTCCCTTTTTGATGGATAGTTGGGTTGTTTCCAGTCTTTTTCTATTACAATGAATGTGCCAGTAAAGAGCTTCATGTATGTATCTTTTCACATTTTGGCCATTATATCGTTGGGATAGATTACTGTAAGTGGTATTGCTAGACCAAAGAAAAATATATAATTTTTCTAGGTATTGCCAAATATCCATTTATAGATATTGTGCTGTTCTGTAATACCACTAGCCATGCATGAGATTGCCTGTTTCCTCACAGCTTTACCAACAGAGTCTATTCTCAAAGTTGATTTTTTTTTTTTTTTTTTTTTTTTTGAGACAGAGTCTCGCTCTTGTCTCCCAGGCTGGAGTGCAGTGGCACGATCTCGGCTGACTGCAACTTCCGCCTCCCGGGTTCAAGCGATTCTCCTGCCTCAGCCTCCCAAGTAGCTGGGATTACAGGCACCTGCCACCACACCTGGCTAACTTTTGTATTTTTAGTAGAGACAGGGTTTCACCATGTTGGCCAGGCTGGTCTTGAACTCCTGACCTCAAGTGATCCACCTGCCTTGGCCTCCCAAAGTGCTGGGATTACATGTGTGAGCTACTGTGCCTGGCCTCAAACTTGATTTTTGCAATGTGATAGGTGAGAAATGGGTATTTTTCAATTTACGTTTCTCTCTTTTTTTTTTTTTTCTTTTTTTGAGGCGGAGTCTTGCTCTGTCACCCAGGCTGGAGTGCAATGGTGTGATCTCAGCTCACTGCAACCTCCACCTCCCAGGTTCAATTGATTCTCCTGCCTCAGCCTCCTGAGTAGCTGGGATTACAGGTGCGTGCCACCATGCCTGGCTAATTTTTGTATTTTTAGTAGAAGTGGGGTTTCACAATGTTGGCCAGGCTGGTCTTGAACTCCTGACCTCGTGATCCACCCGCCTCAGCCTCCCAAAGTGCTGGGATTACAGGTGTGAGCCACCACGTCTGGCCCAATTTACATTTCTCTTATTAGGAGCTAGATTGGACTTTTTTTTCACATTTGAAGGCCATTTGCATTTCTTTTAGTACCTTTTGTTCATTTGTTGTTATTGGCCTTTCCTTCTTCCCCCCTTCCTTTTCTCTGTCCTCTTGCTTTCACTTCCCTCTCCTCCTCCTCTTTCTCCTTCTCTTCCTCTCAGTCTTTTATGTCTCCTTCCCTTTTTCTCCCTCCTCTTCCTTCCTCATCCTCCTTCTTTCTCCTACCTTCCTCTTTATTAGGGATATTTACCACACTCCCTTTGACTCCTAGCCAATTAATTTTAACTAGTTTCGGGTATTAGGGTTATGTCAGAGATAAAAGGTGTGTTAGGTCTTCTCATATCCCTTTTTAGTAAACATCTGCATTTTTTCCTTTCTATATAGAAACTTTTCCAAAATTTTTTTCTTATTCAATGCAGATGGTATCTTTTTACAGAAATGAAAACTTTATGCAAAAATAAAAGGGGGACCGGGCGCGGTGGCTCATGCCTGTAATCCCAGTACTTTGGGAGGCCAAAGCGGGTGGATCACCTGAGGTCAGGAGTTCAAGACCAGCCTGGCCAACATCGTGAAACCCCATCTCTACTAAAAAATACAAAAATTAGCTGGGCGTGGTGGCAGGCATCTGTAATCCCAGCTACGCGGGAGGCTGAGGCAGGGAGAATTGCTTGAACCTGGGAGGCAGAGGTTGCAGTGAGCTGAGATCACGCCACTACACTCCAGCCTGAGCAACAGAGTGAGACTCCATCTCAAAAAAATAATAATAATAAAATAAAGGCCAGGTGCGGTGGCTTATGCCTGTAATCCCAGCACTTTGGGAGGCCGAGGTGAGTGGATCACGAGGTCAGGAGATCGAGACCATCCTGGCTAACATGGTGAAACACCGTCTCTACTAAAAATATAAAAAAATCAGCCAGGCATGGTGGCGGGCACCTGTAGTCCCAGGCTGAGGCAAGAGAATGGCGTGAACCCGGGAGGTGGAGCTTGCCGTGAGCCAAGATCGCGCCATCGCACTCCAGCCTGGGCGACAGAGCAAGACTCCATCTCAAAATAAATAAATAAAATAAATAAATAAATAAATAAAAATAGAAAAAAGGGGGGATATTTCTTCAAAGAAGATATGCAAATGGCGTAAGGCTTCAAATGAAACATGACTTTGTGGGACTTCTGTTCTTTTTCCTAACTCGTTTACCTCTTTTTTGAATACAGGAACAAAAGTATACCAGGCAAATTAATGAACTAGAGGGACAGTTCCATCAAAAAGCCAAAGAAATTGGCATGATTCACACAGAGCTGAAAGCAGTAAGACAATTCCAGAAGAGAAAAATCCAAGTGGAGAGAGAGTTAGATGATGTAAGTTTCATTCCTTTTTTACAAAAAGGAAATTAGAATTAACTATTTAATGCCTACAGAAGCCTTCACAAACATTTACTCCTGTGAGACGGCAAAGAACTCTCTTTGACATTTTAGAAATTATTTGAGAGAAAAAGGAGAAGACAGACTGGATGCCAAAGGTCTTGACTTTAGACTTCTCTTTTTCTAAGCATTGATTTCCTTGGGAACTCACCAAATCTCAGACAACACATCCTCCTATGTTTATCAGCAGGTAACCCTTTGGATTGACTTCAGTAAGAAACAAACTACAAGTTCTTAGAAAACCTCAGGGAAAAAGTAGCAGACTTCTAAAGAAAAATGTTTAGGCTGATGAATGATAGTTTTAGAGAAATTTAGAAGGCTCTATGGTAGGGGTCAGTAGGGTGAGAAACACTGAGTACTTTCAGAAAATTTATGTTACCTTTCTGTGCTCTTTCTCTTACTTTCCTCGGCTTAGAATATAGTTTTATTACATTACTGATAATTCAATAAGTGGCACAGGGGAGTGCCAGGAACAAGTAGCTGAAATCAGCTTTGTGACTATAGGCAAGTTACTTAACTCTTCCATACCTTGGTTTCCTTATCTGTAAAATGGGATAGTAAGAGTTAGTATCTCAGCCAGGCATGGTGGCTTATGCCTGTAATCCCAGCATTTTGGAGGCCAAGGCAGGATAATCTCTTGAGGCCAGGAGTTCAAGACTAGCCTAGGCAACATAGTGAAATCCCAACTCTACAAAAAAATGTTTTAAATTAGCCAGGCACAGTGGCTCGTGCGTATAGTCCCAGCAACTTGGGAGGCTGAGGTGGGAGGATCACTTGAGCCCAAGAGATTGAGGCTGCAGTATGCTGTGATTGCACGACTGCACTCCAGCCTGGGTGACAGTAAGACCATGTCTCAAAAAAAAAGTAAAATAAAATAAGAGTTACTATTTCATAGAATTGTTATAGGATTAAATGAGTTAATATTTGTAAAGTGCATAAAATAGCACGTCACATGGTAAAAATTATATAAACAGTGGTGTGCAGCTCTCTGTAAAAAAAAAATGGTCCTTATTTGTAGCATTTGCTGATTCTGGGGGAAATACTTTAGTATAGCAAAGGCTTCAGTCATCTATCTTAAGGCTTGATTGGAGCTTGAGGATCTGTTTCCAAGGAGGCACATTCAAGTGGCTGTTAAGTTGGTGCTGGTGATTAGTGGGAGACCTCTCCTCATATGGGCCCTTTTTTTTTTTTTTTTTTTTTGAGACAGAGTCTTACTCCATCACCCAGGCTGGAGTGCAGTGGCACGATCTCAGCTCACTGCAACCTCTGCCTCCTGGGTTCAAGCGATTCTCGCTGCCTCAGCCTCCCGAGTAGCTGGGATTACAGGCGTGCACCACCACCCCCAGCTAATTTTTTTTTTTTTTTTTTTTTTTTTTTTAGTAGAGTCAGGGTTTTACCATGCTGGTCAGGCTGGTCTGGAACTCCTGACCTCAAGTGATCTGGCCACCTCGGCCTCCCAAAGTGCTTGGATTATAGGCGTGAGCCACCATGCTCAGCCCATATGGGCCCTTTTATAAGCTGCTTGAGTGTTCTTATAACTTGGTGGATGACTTCACCCAGAGTGAGTAATCTGAGCGGGATGTAGACAGAAGCTATCTTTTTCATGACCTAGCCTTCAAAGTCACATAGCATTACTTCCACCATATTTTATTATTAATAGTTAAAAGTGAATCCTTAAGTCTGGCCCACATTCCTAGCAGTGGGGAATTAGATACCATCATTTGAAGAGAAGAGTGTCAAAGAACTTATAGACACATTTTAAAACTACCATACCACTGCAGTCCAGTGTATACACAGCTACAGGAATACTTTTAAAATATCACAGTTCTTTTTTTTTTTGAGATGGAGTGTTGCTCTATTGCCCACGCTAGAGTGCAGTGGCGCGATCTCTGCTCACTGCAACCTCCACCTCCTGGGTTCAAGCGATTTTGGTGCCTCAGCCTCCCAAGTAGCAGGGACTATAGGCGCACGCCACCGTGCTAGGCTAATTTTTTGTATTTTTAGTAGAGACAAAGTTTTGCCACATTAGCCAGGCTGGTCAAGAACTCCTGGCCTCAGGTGCTCTGCCCACCTCGGCCTCCCAAAGTGCTGGGATTGTGGGCATGAGCCACTGCACCTGGCCTAAAATATCACAGTTCTGATCACGTCCTTCAAGAGTTGTCTTTCGGTGAGGCACAGTGGCTCACACCTGTAATCCTAGCACTTTGGGAGTCCAAGGCAGGTGGATCACCTGAGGTCAGGAGTTTGAGACCATCCTGTCCAACATGGCAAAACCCTGTCTCTACTAAAAAATCCAAAAATTAGTCGGGCATGGTGGCATGTGCCTGTAGTCCCAGCTACTCCAGAGGCTGAGGCAGGAGGATCTCTTGAACCTGGGAGGCGGAGGTAACAGTGAACCAAGATCATGCCACTGTACTCCAGCCTGGGTGACAGAGCGAGACTCTGTCTCAAAAAAAAAAAAAAAAAAGCTGTCTTTAGTGTTCCTCCACTGTAAACAGAATATTGTCCACACACCTTAATGTGAAAGTCAAGACCCTGTACCTATCTGGGAACATTATTATCTCCTTTTACTACATCACCCATCCACCTCCATACTTCCTTTAATTCACCCAAAATGAGTATTCATTAATCCCTGAAATCTTGTCTCTTTGTTTCATTGTTCACACTGTCTTTTATCTAAAATATATTCCTGGTAGATCTTGGCCCATTAAAATATTATCTTTTTTTTTTTCTTTTTTCTTTTTTTTTTTTTTTTTGAGACAGAGTTTTGCTCTGTTGCCCAGGCTGGAGTGCAGTGGTATGATCTTGGCTCACTGCAACCTCTGCCTCCCAGGTTCAAGCGATTCTCCTGCTTCAGCCTCCTGAGTAGCTGGGACTATAGGCACGTGCCACCATGCCCGGCTAATTTTTTGTATTTTTTAGTAGAGACAGGGTTTCACCATGCTGGCCAGGATAGTCTCAATCTCCTGACGTCATGATCTGCCCACCTCGGCCTCCCAAAGTGCTGGGATTACAGGTGTGAACCACCACGCCTGGCCTCTTTTTTTTTTTTTTTTTTTTTTTTTTTCTTTTCTTGAGACAGAGTCTCGCTCTTTTACCCAGGCTGGAGTGCAGTGGTGTAGTCATGGCTCACTGCAGCCTCTACTTCCCTGGGCTCAAGTGATCCTCTTATTTCAGGCTCCTGAGTAGCTAGGACTACAGGCACGCACCATCACACCTGGCTAATTTTTTTTTTTTTTTTGAGATGGGGTTTCACTGTTGCCCAGGCTGGTCTCGAACTCCTGGGCTCAAGCAGTCTGCCTGCCTGGGCCTCACAAAGTGCTAGGCTTACAGGCATGAGCCACCATGCCCAGCCACCTGTCTTTCAAAGGCTCAGCTCAAATTCGTGTTCTCCATGAGGTCTTCTCCTGGAGTCCTGTTTAAAAGTAATAATTTTCGGCCAGGCATGGTGGCTCACGCCTGTAATACCAGCACTTTGGGAGGCCGAGGCAGGCGGATGACCTGAGGTCGGGAGTTCAAGACCAGCCTGACCAACATGGAGAAGCCCTGTCTCTACTAAAAATACAAAATTACCTGGGCCTGGTGTGGCACATGCCTGTAATCCCAGCTACTCGGGAGGCTGAGGCAGGAGAATCGCTTGAACCTGGGAGGCGGAGGTTGCAGTGAGCTGAGATCGTGCCATTGCACTCTGGCCTGGGCAACAAGAGCGAAACTCTGTTTCAAAAAAAAAAAAAAGGAATAATTTTCTTTTCTGTATGTTCCCATAGCATTTTCTATCTTTTTTATACCCCATTCTGTCTTTTTTATCTTGTCTTTTTATATACCTAAAGATATTGTCTTGATATTATATTTATTTATCATTTATCTTATCTCCCCTAATAGATTGCACTCACTTGAGGTGTGAACAGTGTTGTCCTTTGTATTCATTGAAATACAAGATACATAGTAATGTTGAATTAATCTTTGCTAAATGCTGAGCGGGTCTTTTGTTAAAAACATAAGGAATGTCAACTTTTCTGGAAGGAATACAAGTTATGTTTTATATGAAAATGCTGTAGATTGAATCAACATAATTAACTTTTCATGAACTCTTAAAATAGCCTATGTACAGGTATACATTCTGAATTCAAATGAATTAAGAACTAGTGCATATTCAAGTAGCCCATGTTGTAATTTTTTTAAAGAACAGTGTTGCCACCTAGTGGAGAAATAGATTTCAGACCTTTCAAAGTGGGCCTTTGAGGAAGACTTAAAATTCAAAAGATATTGGCTTATGGGAACGAATAAGGTGGTTCTGTGGAATCCCAAATGTGGCAGAATTGTGGCAGGTGTGAGGGTCCATGAATTTTAAATTAGGAGGTATACATTAGGAAAGAAAATTAATTATACTGTGTATGTAGAATTCATTATACAAATTACAAAGAAAACTAAATTGAGATTCTCAAAAGGTATTCAAAGTGTATGTTTTAAAGAAAAAAATTATTTCTGGCTGGGCACAGTGGCTCATGCCTGTGATAACAGCACTTTGAGAGGCTAAGGTGGGTAGAATGCTTGAGCCCAGGAGTTCAAGACCAGCCTAGGCAACGTGGCAGAACACCATCTCTACAAAAAAATCACTTCACTCCAGCCTGGGAAACAGAGCCAGATCCTGTCTCCAAAAAAAGAAAAAAAGAAGAAAGAAATGAAAAAGAAAAAAATGTTTTCCATATACCCGATTAACCAAAGAAGCATATATTGCATATATTGTTAGATTGCAGTTATTATTTTTTAAATAGTTTTAGTCTTCTTTTGACAAAATGATAATACTCATCACAGCAAATTTAGCTTGGCTGATAAAATTAGAAAATAAAAATGATCCATCCCTTACAATTACACTATGTAACGATTGTATAGTTTCTTTTTTCCTTTGCTGTAGAAACTTCTAAAAATAGCTATATGTTATTTTTACAAAAGTGAAGTCATGATATAAATTGTTAACCTGATTTTTCACTTTATATATTGTGAACATTTTTCAATGCCATTAAATATTTTCTATAACATTTTTTCAATAGATGCACGGAATTCCATTGGGTAGATATATCTTAATTTATTAATTGGTTGCTTGCTGTTGGACATTTGGACTTTTTCCTAATTTTTCACTATTATAAACTGTGGGGATCATCTAAGGAATGAAATCTTTTTCTATATCTTTAGTTTTGTTTTTGTTTTTTTGAGACGGAGTTTCACTTTTGTTGCCCAGGTTGGAGTGCAATGATGCAATCTCGGCTTACTGCAACTTCTGCCTCCTGGGTTCAAGCAATTCTCCTGCCTCAGCGTCCCAAGTAGCTGGGATTACAGGCATGTGGCATCACGCCTGGCTAATTTTTTTTTTTTTTGTATTTAGTAGAGACGGGGGTTTCACCATGTTGGTCAGGCTGGTCTGGAACTCCTGGATCTCAGGTCATCCACCCGCCTCGGCCTCCCAAAGTACTGGGATTACAGGCATGAGCCACTGTACCCAACCTCTACCTTTAGTTTTTAGGATAACTTCTTAGTAGAATTTATGGGTTAATGAACATGAACTTTTAAAGGTTTGTGGTGTGTGCTGCCTACTTACCTTTTGAAAGCTTTATTAATTTATAGATTTTTGAGGGAGTCTAATGGTAGATGAAAAATCCATCTCCACATACAATGGGATAGTAGGATAGTACATATTTCTATAAACTTGTATGTTGATACTAATTTTTAAAGTCTTGTTAATGTTGTCTCTCTCTCTTCCAAAACATATATATATATATTTTTTGAGACTAGTCTCGCTCTGTTGCCCAGGCTGGAGCAATGTGGGCTCACTGCAGTCTCTGCCTCTTGGGCCCAAGTGATCCTCCCACCTCAGCCTTAGTTCTGGAGTAGCTGGAACTACAGGTGTGCACCACCACACTCAGCTAATTTTTGTATTTTTTGTAGAGACAGGGTTTGGCCATGTTGCCCAGGCTGGTCTCAAACTTCTTCAAGCTATCTACCCACCTTAGCCTCCCAAAGTGCTGGGATTACAGGTGTGAGCCACCGTGCTCAGCCTCTTAATATTTTTGAAAAATCATTGACTGCAGTTATCTGAAACTGCAAAAAGTGAAACTGCACATAAGGAGGACTACTGTACTAATGTTATCAATCTGTAGAAGATTGAGGGAAATTTGGTACTCGGAGGCAGGAACACAGATTTTTTCTGTGTGTTCAGGATTAAGAGGTAACATATAACAGAAAGCATTTCCTTATTGATAATTTTCTGAGAATGTGCTCAATGACCCCCATTTTCTATTGATCATTTTTGTTTGTTTGTTATTTTAATTTTAGCTGAAAGAGAATTTAAGAAACACAGAGCGGATACATCAGGAGACTCTTAGAAGACTGGAAAGCAGATTTTTTGAAGAAAAGGTACAGATTATTAGGGTTAATTTAAAATGTTTTGTTTACTAGAACATAAGTGTATTTATATGCATTCTGAAACATCAGCCTTCCATTTGGTATCTTAATAGAAGATTAGAAGATTGTTACCAAATTATAGCACAATACAATGAGGGAAAATAAAACCTTCTAGAAATCTCAATATCTAGTCCTTGTTTTCTCTCTCATTCAGAGATTCTTGTCCTCTTCTGAAGGCTTTGGGACATGTCTCCCTCAGCTTGATACTCCCCTGGTGAGACTAAAGCTATGTGTACTCCCATTATATAGGGAAGATGGGAGTGGAGAAATCACTCTCGTATGTGTGCAAAGATGTTTCCTTAGTCAAGCCGAGCTAAAGATGTTAATAAAAAATGTTGCTTAGGCTGGGCACGGTGGCTCACGCCTGTAATCCCAGCACTTTGGGAGGCCGAGGCAGGTGGATCGTCTCAGGTCAGGAGTTCGAGACCAGCCTGACCCTATCTCTACAAAAATACAAAAATCAGCCGGGCATGGTGGCACATGCCTGTAGTCCCAGCTACTCAGGAGGCTGAGGCAGAAGAATTGCTTGAACTCAGGAGGCAGAGGTTGCAGTGAGGCGATATTGCACCACTGCACTCCATCCTGGGTGGTAGAGCAAGACTCCTTCTCAAATAAAAAAAAGTTCCTTAGCACAACACAGCTTCCAACTCCAACTTAATTTCTGTGTTTCTGAAGTTAACTCTCCAAATTGTGGGAAGTACACTGGAACACTTCTACAGAATCCTTTCAGAGGCCTCATGGTTGTTCTTTATTTTAATCCTTTCTTTAACTTTTTATTCTTAGGGAATAATTAAATAGATTCTTTCAGAAATTGGTAGGAATGTAGGCACTTGAGGGTGGGGCAAATGAGGTTTTGTTTGATTGCTTGTTTATTTGAGACAGGGTCTTGTCTGTCGCCCAGGCTGGAGTGCAGTGGTTCAGTCACAGCTCACTGCAGCCTTGACCTCCACCTCCTGGATTCAAGCAATCCTCCTACCTCAGCCTCCTAAGTAGTTGGGGCTACAGGCATATATCATCACACCTAGCTAATTTTTATTTTTTGTAGAAATGGGGTCTTGCTGGGCCTGGTGTGGTGGTTCACTCCTGTAATCCCAGCACTTTGGTAGGCCAAGGTGGGCGGATCACTTGAGGCCAGAAGTTTGAGACCAGCCTGGCCAACATGGTGAAACCCCATCTCTACTAAAAATACAAAAATTAGCCAGGCATGGTGGTGTGCACCTGTAATCCCAGCTACTCAGGAGGCTGAGACGGGAGAATTGCTTGAACCCAGGAGGCAGTGGTTGCAGTGAGCCAAGACTGCTCCACTGCCCTCCATCCTGGGTGATAAAGTGAGACTCTGTCTCAAACAACAACAACAACAACAACAAAACTGAAATGGGGTCTCATTATGTTGCTGGTCTCGAACTCCTGGGCTCCAGCAATCCTTCTGCCTTGACCTCCCAAAGTGTTGGGATCACAGGCATGAGCTACCATGCCTTGCTCCTATGGGGTTTAGATAAAAGGAATTGCTATAGAAAGTGGCTCTAGGTTCCAGTTTGTGTATGGAATAACCTGGAGGAAATGAGGCAAGAGCAGCACCCTGGTGCTTTCCCTCTGAGACCCTCCCTGGCACTGTCAGGAATGGAAGCCCTCAGGAATAGGCTGTTCTCAGGAGCCTCTCCTATTCCACCCTAATCTTGATCTCTTTTCTACTTGGTGTAGAAAATAAAGGTTAGAAAGAGTTGGTCAGTTTACAGAATACCCGAGTAACAGTGCTTATGTAAATAGGATTTTTATATATGAGAGCAGATGGCTGCTGGCCTTTCCTTCATGGTTACAAGGTAGTTAACTGCAGTTTGAAGCTCTGTGTTCAAGACAAGAAGGGAGGCTCCAGCTGTGTCTGTCCCTTTTATCTGGAAGCCATAACAACTTTCCCAGAAGCTGTTAGCACATTTCATCTTACATCTCACTGACCAGAACCATGTTATAAAGAATGCTGGGCGGCACACACTGTTCTCCCACCTACTCTGGAGACTGAGGCTCAAGGATTGCTTGAGCCCAGGAATTCGGGGCTGCAGTGAGCCATGATTGTGTCACTGTATTCCAGCCTGGATGACAGAGTAAGACCCTGTCCTTCTCTCTCTCTCTTCCTCTTTCTCTCTCTCGCTCTGTTTCTCTCTCTCTCTCTTATACACACACACACACAGACACACACACACACACACACACACACACACACTACTGGGAAAGTGAATGTTTGTTTTCCTCGCCATTAGTGGAAGCTAGGGAGGAAAAAGAAGGATGGGAATGAATGTTGGTTTGGACATCACAGCAGGGTCTGCCTCTCCATGTTAGGTACAAACTTCATGGATATTTCTCCTGTGCTGGTTTGAGCCCCGGTGCTGCAGCTTCATGGCATTGGGCTTTCCAATCGGCCTGTTCATTTACTTTATACCTCAGCATGCCCCAGCCGGCCATATAAAGGATTTCCCAGATCATTGGTGTTTGGTTTGATTTTCCCATTTATTTCTTTCTATTCTTTGAATCACAAAGCCCTGTCCTACATTTATATATATATATTTTTTAAGACAGAGTCGGCCAGGCGCGGTGGCTCACGCCTGTAATCCCAGCACTTTGGGAGGCCGAGGCGGGTGGATCATGAGGTCAGGAGATCGAGACCATCCTGGCTAACAAGGTGAAACCCCGTCTCTACTAAAAATACAAAAAATTAGCCGGGCGCGGTGGCGGGCGCCTGTAGTCCCAGCTACTCGGGAGGCTGAGGCAGGAGAATGGCGTGAACCCGGGAAGCGGAGCTTGCAGTGAGCCGAGATTGCGCCACTGCAGTCCGCAGTCCGGCCTGGGCAACAGAGCGAGACTCCGTCTCAAAAAAAAAAAAAAAAAAAAAAAAAAAAGACAGAGTCTCACTTTGTCACCTAGGTTGGAGTGCAGTGGCATGATCTCGGCTCACTGCAACCTCTGCCTCCTGGGTTCAACTGGTTCTCCTGCCTCAGCCTCCTGAGTAGCTAATTTTTGTATTTTTAGTAGAGACAGGGTTTCACCATGTTGACCAGGCTGGTCTCGAACTCCTGACCTCAGGTGACCTGCCCGCTTCGGCCTCCCAAAGTGCTGGGATTACAGGTGTGAGCCACCACTCCTGGCCTCTACATCCATATTTTTATATTGCTAGTCCCTCCTTCTGGAATGCTGTTCCTCCAGCTCTGGATCATTCTTATTTAGAGCTCAGATATCATTTCTTTAGAGAGAGATTTCCTAAACTCCAATCTAAAATGAGGCTGGGCACGGTGGCTCACGCCTATAATCCCAGCACTTTGGGAGGCCAAGGCCGGCGGATCACTTGAGGAGAGGAGTTTGAGACCAGCCTGGCCAACATAGTGAAACCCTGTCTGTACTAAAAATACAAAAATTAGCTGGGCATGGTGGTGCACACCTGTAGTCCCAGCTACTTGGGAGGCTGAGACATGAGAATCACCTGAACTCGGGAGACAGATGTTGCAGTGAGCCGAGATCATGCCACTGCACTCCAGCCTGGGTGACAGAGTGAGACTCTGTCTCAAAACAATAATAATAAAATAAATAAATAAATAAATAATAAAACGACCTCCTCTAGTTACTATCTACCTTATTACCCCATTTATTTCACTGATAGCATTTATCACAGTCTATTAATTCTTTTTATTTGTTTACTTGTTAGGGGACTGTATAGCATCAGATTGCCTGCATATAAATCCCTGCTCTGCCACTTACTAGCTTTGTGACTTTGGGCAAGTCACCAACCTCTTCTCTTTTTTTTTTTTTTTTAAACAGAGTCACCCAGGCTGGAGTGCAGTGGCACAACCATGGCTCACTGCAGCCTCTACCTCCCAGTCTCATACAATCCTCCTGGCTCAGTCTTCTGAGTAGCTGGGACCACAGGTGCACACCACCATGCCGAATTAAAAAAAATTTTTTTTGGCCAGGCGCGGTGGTTCATGCCTGTAATCCCAGCACTTTGGGAGGCTGAGGCGGGTGGATCACCTGAGGTCAGGAATTCAAGACCAGCCTGGCCAACATGGTGAAACCCCGTCTCTACAAAAATACAAAAATTAGCTGGGCATGATGGTAGGTGCCTGTAATCCCAGGTACTCGAGAGGCTGAGGTGAAAGAATCGATTGAACCCAGGAGGCAGAGGTTGCAGTGAGCTGAGATCACGCCACTGTACTCTAGCCTGGGCAACAGAGGGATACTCCCAGAGATGGGGTCTCCCTATGTTGTTCAGCTGGGCTTGAACTCCTGAGCTCCAGTCATCCCGCCTTGGCCTCCCAAAGTGCTAGGATTACAAACATGAGCGAGCAGGCCCGGCCAACCTTTCTGTTTCTGTTTCCTCAGTCCCTGCTTTTGGGCATAATAGTAGTATCTATATAATAGGGTTGCTGTGACAAATAAATGATACATGTAACATTCTTAGAACTGTTCCTGGCACATAGTAAATGCTCAAAACATGATAATTATTGCTTATTGTTTAGATTTCACCCTAGAATATAAGCTTCATGAGATCAGGGACCTTGTCTGTTTTGTTCACTACAGAATTTCAGTATCTAAAACAGTCTGGTAATTATTAATGCTCATAGTATTATTTTTTATTTATTTATTTTCTTGAGATGGAGTTTCACTCTTGTTGCCCATCTGGAGTGCAATGGCGCGATCTTGGCTTACCACAAACTCTGCCTCCCGGGTTCAAGTGATTCTCCTGCCTCAGCCTACCGAGAAGCTGGGATTACAGGCATGTGCCACCACACTGGGCTAATTTTGTATTTTTAGTAGAGCTGGGGTTTCTCCATGTTGGTCAGGCTGGTCTTGAACTCCTGACCTCAGGTCATCCACCCACCTCAGCCTCCCAAAATGTTGGGATTACAGGCGTGAGCCACCGCGCCCGGACAATGCTCATAGTAATTTTTAGACTGACCAAGCACTTCTAATTTTTATTTTCTACACCAAGTAAAAAAGAGATCAAGATTAGGGTGGAGTAGAGGGAGAGGCTACTGAGAACAGCCTAGTCCTGAGGGCTACCATTCCTGAATGAATAAATGAATGACTCTCATTTCAGTGCATTTAGCAGAAATTCCTCCTCATTCTGCTTTCCAACATGGAATTGAATTTTCTCCCCTATTTATATGTCATATTGCTTCCTTAAGTGGGAAAATGGGGAGGAACCCTAAGGTTCCTGTGTTCACACTGTCCTCTTTGTCAGCTTCTCCACCAGTGCTTGGAGTTCTTTCAGGTCATGGGGACAGGAGTTTTTTATTTGACATTCTAAAATAAATATCTTTTGATGAGTAAAATTTGTTGTTAGGGGCATAATTATTTAAGCAGCCCATTTTCTTTTTTAGCACCGACTAGAACAAGAGGCTGAAAAGAAGATAATAATGCTAGCAGAGAGAGCCCACCATGAGGCTATTGTGTAAGAGACTGCTGCCTACTTTCTGACTCTGATTACCTCTCTTACCTCTTTGCTGGTCTCTTTTCTTCTTACTTTCTTGTCTTCCCCCTTCTGTTCTGGCTTACTTGCTTCAAATTTTCTGGTCTACTGTCCCTCCCTGTTTCTTTCTCTTTGTATACTCCCACCCCTTTTTCCTCTACTCTTTCTGTGGCAGCATTGTGTGGTGGAAAGATCCTGGGCTTTGAACTTACTTATTTATTGATTTATTTTTTGAGATGGAGTCTTGTTCTGTCATCCAGGCTATCCAGGCTGGAGTGCAGCGGCATGAGCTTGGCTCACTGCAACCTCTGCCTCCCGAGTTCAGGCGATTCTCATGTCTCAGCCTCCTGAGTAGCTGGGATTACAGGCACCCACCACCACACCTGGCTAATTGTTGTATTTTTAGTAGAGACAGGGTTTCGCCATGTTGGCCGGGCTGATCTCGAACTCCTGACCTCAAGTTATCCACCCACCTCAACCTTCCAAAGTGCTGGGATTATAGGCATGAGCCACCGTGCCCAGCCTGCACTTGACTTTGGTTCTCAACATGTATACTAACTAACCGTAGGAAGATTTCTTACCTTTTTGTTTGATTCTTTGTTTTTGAGACAGGGTCTGGCTCTGTCACCCAGGCTGGAGTACATTGGCATCATCATGGTTCACTGCATCCTCCACTGCCTGGGCTCAAGTGATCCTCTCACGTCAGCCTCCAGAGTAGCTGGGACTACAGGCATGTGCCACCACGCCCAGCTAATTTTTGTATTTTTTGTAGAGACTGGGTTTTGCCCGGGCTGGTCTCGAACTCCGGGGCTCAAGCAATCCACCCGCCTCGGGCTTCCCAAGTGTTGGGATTACAGATGTGAGTCACTGTACCAAGCCACATTTCTTAACTTTCTTGAAGTTAAATTTCTTCAACTAAAAGTAGGGCTAATTTACTTCTTCCAGTAATCTGAGTTTATAAAAATAAATAAATAGTAAAACCATGGCTAATAGTAGCAATCTTGCAGGGTTGTCATGAGGTATATTAGTGGAAGTACATCTAACTCTCAGGTCTTAATGGTTTATTTCTTGTTCATCGAACAATCCTGTATGGGTCTGGCAGCTCTCCTCCAGGGATGATTCAGGAACCTGGCTGCTTCCTTCTTGCACCTCTGCCGTGTTGGAGTTTTTCACGTCTAGTCATGTGGACAGGAAAGAGCATGGGAGACTCATACCTGCTCTTAACTGCCTTGCACTAGAAGTAACCCGTCCTTTTTCACTTTATTTATTTATTTATTTATTTATTTATTTATTTATTTTTGAGACAGGGTCTCGCTCTGTCACCCAGGCTGGAGTGCAGTGGTACAATCATGGCTCACTGCTGTAGCCTTGACTTCTTGGGCTCAAGTGGTTCTCCTTCCTCAGCTTCCTGAGTAGCTGCGACAGACTACAGGTGCAAACCACCACGTCTGGCTAATTTTTTAGATTTTCTGTAGAGATTGGGTCTCACTATGTTGCCTAGGCTGGTCCCAAATTCCTAGGCTCAAGTGATCCTCCCGTCTCAGCCTCTCAAAGTGCTGGGATTATAGATGTGAGCCACTGCATTCAGCCATTTTCACTTTTTTATTGGGTGAAAACTTAATTACAAGATTCCCACATAACTACTGAGTACCCACCATAAGCTAAATAGGTGGTAGTCACTATTGATAATATTGGGGGTGCAGGTGGTGAAGCA
This sequence comes from Homo sapiens, assembly GCF_000001405.40. Lineage (NCBI taxonomy): Eukaryota > Metazoa > Chordata > Mammalia > Primates > Hominidae > Homo > Homo sapiens. The sequence goes on from NC_000014.9 coordinate 74,047,863, forward strand.
ATCATTTTTCTATTTTGGCGATATCTAAAAGTTAGACCTGTGTTTTGAGATCTTATATCTATTTCAGGCAATTGAACGATGCTGGAAGAAATGTTTTTAAAGAGAATGATTATCTTCAGAAAGCTCTGGCATATCACCTGAAGGAAACTGACGCTCTACAAAAAAACTCCCAGAAGTTGCAAGAGAGTCATACTTTACTTTTACATCAAAAGGTTCCCTCTCATTTAGACTTGGTGTCCTTCTTTTCTTTATTTAAGGATTGGGTTGGTAAATACCAAAAATTGGGTATAATAATGATATATAAGGACAATGAGACCATTTTCATCTGTCTGGATGATGCACTTTTTTTATCTGAAAAGGTTAAATACTCAATCTTATAATGCTTATAAGAAGCATTAGACTCAACTTATAAAGAATATATCAGAAACATAAATATGACCCTTATCCTCTACTACCTTAGAATATTCATTTTTCTTTGCTTAGAGTTGGTCCCTGAGTCACTTAGGAATACATTTAGCGGTGAGTAACAGTCCTGACATCAGTGGCATCACCACACAAGGGTTTATTCTTTCACCTAAAGGAGGCCTGGAGGTAAGCAATCCACAGCAGGAATGGTAGTGCCACAAAGTTAATAGACACTCAGCTTCCTTAACTTTGCTCTGCAACACTTGGCTTACATCCTCAAACTCACCTCACAGCCTGGGGGGCGCTGCTGGAGCTCTAACCATTCCTTTAAATAGCAGGAAGGAAGAAAAAAAGAAAAAAGTGTGCCTCTCGTTTAAGAGGTCTTTCTGGAAGTCCTACACACATTTCTATTTACATATCATTGACTAGAAAATGGTTATGCTGAACTTCAAGGGAGACTGGGAATTTTCAGCTGGACTTAACTGCCTTTCTGAATGAAGTTGGGGTTTTATTACTATGGAGGAAAGGGAAAGGGAAAATAGATATTGGGATAGGCAACAAGGAGATGCCATAGTTTCCAATATAGTTATTAATGTTTTACTATATAGTTATAGAGAGAGAGAGAAAGACGGAGTCTCACTCTCACCCAGGCTAGAATGCAGTGGCATGATCTTGGCTCACTGCAACCTTTACCTCCTGGGTTCAAGTGATTCTCCTGACCCAGCCTCCTGAGTAGCTGGGACTACAGGCATGCACCACCACGGCCAGCTAATTTTTGCATTTTTTAGTAGAGACAGGGTTTTGCTATGTTGGCCAGGCTGATCTCGAACTCCTGACCTCAGGTGATCCACCCACCTTGGCCTCCCAAAGCTCCAGGATTACAGGCATGAGCCACCATGCTCAGCCCTTCATTCTTTTTCATGGCTGCAAGAAAGTTTCTTAATTAGCACAATTCATAATTAGTAGATTGCCTTCCCAAGTCCAGACAAGGACCCTAGGATGTTTGTTACTCTCTATATAGAATACCAAAATATCACCTCAGCTTGGCATAAAACTTAAATCTCATGAAGTAATGGAAATTAGTAAGGAACTTCCTAAGTTCTGGAATGATTAAAAAAAAAATCAGCCGGGCGCAGTGGCTCACGCCTGTTATGCTGGCTGAGGCAGGCAGATCACCTGAGGTCAGGAATTCGAGACCAGCCTGGCAAACATGGTGAAACCCTGTCTCTACTAAAATTGCAAAAATTAGCTGGGCGTGGTGATGGGCACCTGTAATCCCAGCTACTCAGGAGCCTGAGGTAGGAGAATTGCTTGAACCCAGGAGATGGAGGTTGCAGTGAGCTGAGATTGTGCCACTGCCCTCCAGCCTGGGCGACAGAGCAAGATTCCATCTCAAAAGAAAAAAAAAATCACCTCTCATCTTTCTGTTTTTAGGAGATCAATGATCTGTTGGTTAAGGAAAAGATTATGCAACTTGTCCAGCAGAGATCACAAATCCAAACCCTTCAGAAGAAGGTAGTAAACTTGGAGACTGCTCTGAGTTACATGACCAAAGAGTTTGAGAGTGAAGTTTTAAAACTGCAGCAACACGCAATGATAGAGAACCAAGCAGGTCAGGTAGAAATTGACAAGCTGCAGCACCTTCTTCAGATGAAGGACAGGGAAATGAATCGTGTGAAGAAGCTGGCCAAGAACATACTGGATGAGAGAACAGAAGTGGAAAGATTCTTTTTAGATGCTCTGCACCAAGTGAAGCAACAGATCCTAATTAGCAGGAAGCATTATAAGCAGATAGCACAAGCTGCTTTCAATTTAAAAATGAGAGCAGCATGTACAGGAAGAACAGAATATCCCAAAATCAGAACATTTGATGGCAGAGAGCACAGCACCAATAGTGTGAATCAGGATCTTCTGGAGGCCGAAAAATGGTACTAGCAATACTTTATTATTATCTTTTTGCTGCTATTTTTGTGTCCTTTACAGAAAGAGGAAGTCTGAAAAGTTTAGTTTTATAATATTCAAGTATTGAATAGATTTCTCAGTAGGTTACTTGAGGACAGGAACTGACTTATTCATCTTTGTAATCTCTAGGCTTAGCATAGCATGTGGGGCTTTGGACGTATTCTTAGTATATTCCCCTCTGTCTCATGATAGAAGTCTTGTTAAGGAGACTATTTTTCCCATAGGTTGTTTTTTATATAAGATATATAAGGTCATTATGTATCTTTTCACTTGTTCCTTTGTTTCCCATAAATTGGACATTTGTTATAAAAGCCTGATTAGATTCAGGTTAAACTTTTTTGTTTTTTTAAAGGCAGGGTCTCACTACGTTGCCCAGGCTGGTCTTGAACTCCTGGCCTCAAGTGATCCTCCTGCCTCAGCCTCTCAAAGTGGTGGAATTACAGGCGTGAGCCACTGCACCAATCCAGGTTAAACATTTTTGATACGCATACTTTCAGAAATATTTTGTACCGTTTACTATCCTGAGATGAAATTCATAGGTGATAATATCTATCCAACCATATAATTAAAAAAAAATCAATATAACAATTATTTGTAGGCCAGGCATGGTGGCTTACACCTGTAATCCCAGCACTTTGGGAGGCCAAGTCGGATGGATCACTTAAGGCCAGGAGTTCAAGACCAGCCTGGCCAACATGGTGAAACCCTGTCCCACTAAAAATACAAAAATTAGGCTGGGTGTGGTGGCTCATACCTGTAATCCCAGCACTTTGGGAGGCCGAGGAGGGTGGATCGCCTGAGGTCAGGAGTTCGAGACCAGCCTGACCAACATGGTGAAACCCTGTCTCTACTAAAAATACAAAAATTAGCTGGGCATGGTGGCACATTCCTGTAATCCTAGCTACTTGGGAGGCTGAGGCAGGAGAATCATTTGAATCCAGGAGATGGAGGTTTCAATGAGCCAAGATCACGCCATTGCACTCCAGCCTGGGTGACAAGAGCAAAACACTGTCTCAAAAAAACAAAACAAAAAACAAAAATTAGCTGGGCGTGGTGGCGGGGGTCTGTAGTCCCAGCTACTCAGTAGGCACAAGAATCGCTTGAACCCAGGAGGCAGAGGTTGCAGTGAGCCAAGATTGCATCACTGCACTCCAGCCTGGGCAACAGAGTGAGACCCTGTTTCAAAAAAACAAACAAACAAAAAACCAAAACAATTATTTGTAACAATTCTTTGTTATAGAGAACTGTCCCATGGATTGGAGGACAATCAGTAGTGCCCCCAGCATTGTATTAACCAAAAGTCCCCCAAAATTTTCCAAAATTTTAGAGATCTGCTGCCACTATGATAAAGGTAACAGAATGTTTGAGACAGTTGCAGACTATATATTACATAATGATTAACTTTGTTTCCTATTAGCATTTTTGTTTCTTAGAGCAGTCTCCTCCCTATAAACCATGGATTAAATTATAGTCCATTTTGAGGGTTATTCTGAAAGAAAATTATTTTATATTCCAATGCAATTAGATTCTTCAAAGGCCCTAACTCAAGAAACTTAAAAGGACTGCAGCCTGGAACTCCTGGGCTCAAGTGATCCTCCTGCCTCAGCCTCACAAAGCGCTGGGATTACAGGCACGAGCCACCATGCCCAGCCTAACATCTTCCAAATGTGTTTTTTGCTTTAAATTATTTTTAAAGGACTAATTTTATAGGTTGTTTTGAATTATATGGCTGTTGAGAAGGTTGGACATGCTCAGTAGTCTCTGATAGATAAGATTCTTCTTCAAAATGCCTAAACTATAATTTACTTCTTGTCATATTCAGAAATCTGTAATACTACTACTGTTACCAAGAGATTTGCTGTAATTTCTCTTTTTTATTTAATACATCAAATAAGTTGAGTCCCTACCATATATAAGGCAGTTTTCTTTATATCCTTTTGTTTACGAAATAGTAAGTGTTATACATTTTCAGAGGAAGTTAAATGATTGTCTACATTGTTACTGCAGTAACTGGACTCTTCCTATTCTGTGTTCTATGTGACATTTTTGCTACTGACCACCTTAACACTTTAGCCTTAGTGTCCTATTGCCTCTATCAGCAGGGCAGAAATGGTGGTTAACATATTACATCATCGGGCTGGGCGCAGTGGCTCACGCCTGTAATCCCAGCACTTTGGGAGGTTGAGACAGGTGGATCAAGAGGTCAGGAGTTCAAGACCAGCCTGGCCAAGTTGCTGAAACCCCGTCTCTACTAAAAATACAAAAATTAGCCAGGCATGATGGCACACACCTGTAATCCCAGCTACTCAGGAGGCTGAGGCAGGAGAATCACTTGAACCTGGGTGGCAGAGGTTGCAGTGAGCCAAGATTGTGCCACTGCACTCCAGCCTGGGCAACAGAGCAAGACTCCATCTCAAAAAAAAAAAAATTACATCATCTATTTAAATGGTAGATTGGAAAAGGACAGTTGAAGTATATGGTAATCGGCTGGGTGTGGTGGCTCATGCCTGTAATTCCAGCACTTTGGGAGGCTGAGGCAAGAGGATCATTTGAGTCCAGTAGTTAAAGACCAGCCTGGGCAACACAGTGAGACCCCACCTCTACAAAAAACAAAACAAAAAGTAGCCTGGCATGATGGTGTGCATCTGTAGTCCCATCTACTCGGGAGGCTGAGGTGGGAGGATTGCTTGAGCCCAGGAGTTCGAGGCTGCAGTGAGCCATGGCTGCAGTGAGCCATGGCTGCAGTGAGCCATGATGATGCCACTGCACTCCAGCCTGGCAACACAGTGAGACCTAGTCTCAAAAAATAATAATAAATAAAATAAATTTTTTAAAAAATGAAGTATATGGTAATCATAAGACAAAACCTAGACTTTTTAATTTAATTAATTAATTTATTTTTTTGAGATGGAATCTCACTCTGTCGCCAGGCTGGAGTGCAGTGGCGATCTTGGCTCACTGCATCCTCTGACTTCCGGGTTCAAGCGATTCTCCTGCCTCAGCCTCCCAAGTAGCTGGGATTACAGGTGCGTGCCACCATGCCCGGCTAATTTTTGTATTTTTAGTAGAGACGGGGTTTCACCATGTCAGCCAAGAAGGTCTCGCTCTCCTGACCTTGTGATCTGCCTGCCTCGGCCTCCCAAAGTGCTGGGATTACAGGTGTGAGCCACTGCACCCGGCCGACTTTTTTATTTTTTTGAGACGGTCTCACTCTATTGCCCAGGTTGGAGTGCAGTGGCACCATCATGGCTCACTGCAGCCTTGACTGGGCCCAAGCGATCCTCCCACCTCAGCCCCCCAAGTAGCTAGGACTACAGGCATGTGCCACCATGCCAGGCTAATTTTAAAATTATTTTTATAGAGAAAAGGGTTTCACTACATTTCCCAGGCTGGTCTTGAACTCTTGCCCTCAAGGTATTCTCCCACCTTGGCCTCCCAAAGCTCCAGGATTACAGGTGTGAGCCACCGCACCTGGCCAAAACCTAAACTTTTTTTTTTTTTTGAGAGAGTCTCACTCTGTCGCCCAGGCTGGAGTGCAATGATGCCATCTTGGCTCACTGCAACCTCCACCTCCCGGGTTTAAGCGATTCTCCTGCCTCAGCCTCCCGAGGAGCTGGGACTACAGGTGCATGCCACCACGTCTGGCTGATTTTCTTTTTTTTGAGACAGAGTCTTCGCTCTGTCACCCAGGCTGGAGTGCAGTGGCACAATCTCGGCTCACTGCAAGATCTGCCTCCAGGGTTCAAGCCATTCTCCTGCCTCAGCCTCCCAAATAGCTGGGACTACAGGCTCCTGCCACCATGCCCGGCTAATTTTTTTGTATTTTTTAGTAGAGACAGAGTTTCACCATGTTAGCCAGGGTAGTCTTGATCTCCTGACCTCGTGATCCGCCCGCCTCGTCCTCCCAAAGTGCTAGTATTACAGGTGTGAACCACTGCGCGCAGCCTAATTTTCGTATTTTTAGTAGAGACAGCGTTTCACCATGTTAGCCAGGATGGTCTTGATCTCCTGACCTCATGAACCACCCACCTTGGCCTCCCAAATTACTGGGATTACGGGTGTGAGCCACCGCACCTGGCCTAAACAACTTTTTTTTTCTTGTTCCCTTTGTCTGTGTCTCTAAATAAATAATGTTACATTACAGTTTTTTTTGTTGTTTTTTTTTTTGAGTCGGAGTCTCGCTCTGTTGCCAAGGCTGGAGTGCAGTGGCACGATCTCAGCTCACTGCAACCTCCACCTCCCAGGTTCAAGTGATTCTCCTGCCTCAGCCTCCTGAGTAGCTGGGATTACAGGTGCCCACCACCATGCCCAGCTAATTTTTGTATTTTTAGTAGAGATGGGGTTTCACCATTTTGGTCAGGCTGATCTCGAACTCCTGACCTTGTGATCCTCCCGCCTCAGCCTCCCAAAGTGCTGGGATTACGGGTGTGAGCCACCGCACCCAGGCTCTTTTTTTTTTTTTTTTTGAGAAGGAGTCTTGCTTTGTCACCCAGTCTGGAATGCAGTGGAGTGATCTCGGCTCACTGCAACCTCCCATCTCCCAGGTTCAAGCGATTCTCCTGCCTCGGCCTCCTGAGTAGCTGGGATTAGAGGAGCCTGCCACCATGCCCAGCTAATTTTTGTATATTTAGTAGAGACGGCATTTCACCATGTTGGCCAGGCTGGTCTCGAACTCCTAACCTGTGATCTGCCCGCCTTGGCCTCCCAAAGTGTTGGGTAAGCCACCGTCCCCAGCCTCCTTAGAGTTTTCTACTTTGCTTATTTCCTTAATGTCTGAGCACAAATATTTTTTCATGTTGTTAAAGTTTTTGTCATTTTCATCTTTATGATATGTAACATTTCGGATTGGCTAGTATATTGTTGTCCTTATCAACTTTATGATTTTGTGATGGATAGTTTGCTTTGTAGTTTTCTTTTTTTCTTTCTTTTTTTTTTTGAGACGGAGTTTCACTCTTTTCTCCCAGGCTGGAGCACAGTGGCGCGATCTCAGCTTACTGCAGCCTCCGCCTCCTGGGTTCAAGCGATTCTCCTGCCTCAGCCTCCCGAGTAGCTGGGATTACAGACAGCTGCCACCATGCCCAGCTAATTTTTGTATTTTTAGTAGAGACGAGCTTTCATCACATTGTCCAGGCTGGTCTCGAACTCCTGACCTCAGATGATCCACCCGCCTCGGCCTCCCAAAGTGCTGGGATTACAGGTGTGAGCCACCGCGCCTGGCCTGTAGTTGTTTCATAATATTCAATTATGGTGTGGAATTTATCCTATGTTTACCCATTATATATTTTTTAAAAAGAAGAGAAGCCTATTTGACCGTATTTTTCCTTTTCACATTTTTTTCCTTTGAAATTCTTTAGGACACATATTGAAGGAAATGTGGATATTGGAGATTTGACCTGGGAGCAGAAGGAAAAAGTATTGCGATTGCTCTTTGCAAAAATGAATGGCTGTCCTTCTAGGTAACTCCCTATTTCTGCAGTGAAATACCAAGTTGTTATCAAATCTAGAAACCACTTAGGAACAAAGAACTTATTTTTCTTACTTAGAACTAAAGGGACGGGAAAGGACCAGAAAATATAAAAAGGCCCTACTGCTTAACTACTGCAGCTCCCAGAGATAAAGAATGGGAGATTAATGAATGAGCATGAAAATGAAAGATGAGTTGGAATTAAAGGGGGAGGGGAAAGATTCATCTTAGATGTTTAAGGTAGTGCTTATTAAGAAGTTACAATATTGCTCAGCTGAATGAGTGGCAACTGAAGAGAAACATAACAATATTAAGATTTTATTGGTTTGCAAAGATAAGTATTTTTTTTTTTTTTTGAGATGGGGTCTCACTCTGTCACCCAGGCCAGAGTGCAGTGGCACAATCACAGCTCACTATAACCTCCACTTCCCAGGTGCAAGTGATCCTCCCACCTCAGCCTACTGAGTAGCTGGGACTACAGGCATGTGCCACAACGCCCGGCTAATTTTTTTTTTTTTTTTTTTTGAGAAGGAGTCTCATTCTGTTGCCCAGGCTGGAGTGCAGTGATGTAATCTCGGCTCACTGCAACCTCTGCCTCCTGGTTCAAGTGATTCTCGTGCTTCAGCCTCCCGAGTAGCTAGGATTACAGGGGCCACCACCATGCCTGGCTAATTTTTGTATTTTTTTGTAGAGATGGAGTTTTACCATGTTATCCAGGCTGGTCTCGAACTCCTGACCTGAGGTGACCTGCCCGCCTCAGCCTCCTAAAGTGCTGAGATTACAGGCATGAGCCACTGTGCCCGGCCCTAATTTTGTATTTTTAGTAAAGACAGGGTTTCACCATGTTGGCCAGGCTGGTCACAAACTCCTGACCTCAGATGATCCACTCACCTCGGCTTCCCAAAGTGCTGGGATTACAGGCATGAGCCACTGCCCCTGGCCAGTTATACATTTTAAAATAACTAAAAGAGTGTAATTGGATTGTAACACAAGGGATAAATACTTGAAGGGATGGATACTTCATTCTCTATGATGTGATTATTTCACATTGCATGCCTGTATCAAAACATCTCACGTACCCCACAAATACGTATACCTACTATCACCCACAAAAATAAAAAATAAAAAAAAATTAAAATACAAAAAGAAAATATGAAGGCATGAGGAGACACTGCCTCATTCATTATCTTTGTTGACTTTTACCCACTACAGGAAATACAACCAGAGTTCTAGGCCTCCAGTTCCAGACTATGTTGTTTCTGACAGTGGGGAAACAAAGGAATTTGGGTAAGAGCTCTCTTGCTTAAGTAATAAACATGAGCCCAACACGATGGTTCTTGTGGGCATCTTGAATGTGCTAATTGAAAGTAATATGACAAGTCTGTTATTCTAAACCAGGTTTCATGTGTGTAGAGTTGTTGACGGTTCTGTTATTTTGTCATTATTGCAGGGATGAAAGTAAGCTTCAAGATAAAATCTTCATCACCCAGCAAATTGCAATATCAGACTCTTCTGGTGAAGTGGTGCTACCCACTATTCCAAAAGAACCTCAGGAGTCTGACACAGTAAGGAGTCTGTATCTAATCAAACAATGTATATTGTTGTCACCCTTCCCCATGTCGCTTCTTGCTAAATCACGGTTATTTTCTCTACTAGTTGAGAGACTTCAGGGATCAGTGGAATGAGTAATAAATAGCATTAGTAGATTACATAAATTTTTAAAGCAATATCCGTACAAATGCATATTATACTAATGCAAATGCAAATGTGTGCCTCTTTTTGTGTAGAAACCTATAGGTTGCCTTTTGAAGTAAACAGCCTAGCCAAAATGTGTACTATCTTTTACGTAAGAGTAAACATAGTGACCTTGTGACTCTTAGCTTTCCATCACAGGTGGGAAGTCAGAGTCATTACAACCTAGAGGACAAAGGCTTATAAGGAGATATGAAATGATTTTTTTAAGCCAAGTTTTTCTCTTTAAGAGTTTTTAATTTATAATTTGTTATTCATAATTAGTACAATGTAGAATCTGAGAAATTTCAAATGAAGCCACATTAGAACAAAAAGAAAATACTGACTTTTTAGCCGCGATCACATGAATATAACTGATGAGTTTTTTTCATCTAAGAAATAAGAAACTCTGAGCAGCAAATAGTTGGCCAGATGAGTTGTTTCTAATTAGAGCATCACAGTTCTGATTAGTGTGTTTTTTTAGAAGTGATTTCCCTTAAATATAAGGAAAATGTTAGGAATCTCTGTGACTACATTTAATTCCACTTGGAATATAGACAATAATGACCTTTTATTTAACCCAGCCTATAGTTGTTGGATTGGATTAAATATCACTACCAGGGCCAGGTGCGGTGGTTCACGCCTGTAATCCCAGCACTTTGGGAGGCCGAGGTGGGCGGATCATTAGGTCAGGAGATTGAGACCATCCTGGCTAACATGGTGAAACCCTGTCTCTACTAAAAGTACAAAAAATTATCCGGGTGTGGGGGCATGCACCTGTAATCCCAGCTACTCGGGAGACTGAGGCAGGAGAATTACTTGAACCCAGGAGGTGGAGGTTGCAGTGAGCCGAGATCGTGCCACTGCACTCCACCCTGGGCAACAGAGCGAGACTCCATCTCAAAACAAAACAAAACAACAACAAAAAAAATCACTACCAGTTGCCAGCTGTGATAAGAGCTAAAACAAGGGGTACTGTAGTCTCAAATTATAAATTTCTATTGCCTCATATTTAGGAAAGCAGAAAAAAAAAAAAAAAAGGCCCAGTAGGATCATAAGTGTATTTTACAAAAGTTCCAGTCACCTTAAGTGATTGAAGGTTTTGACATTTTATCCAGCCAGGTGGTAGTAATAAGCCTCAAATCCACAGGGTACACAACATTTTCAAGGTCTTTTTTTTTTTTATCATACTTAATTCATGAATAACCCCCATAGTGTAGGTTAGTTAGCACTATCAAAGTGACTGGTAAGGACGCAGGAAAATAAAAAGAGGATTCAATTGGATTGGTACTGCAAAAAGAATCCATTCTGTTCAGCACATGAATTTCTGTTCTGACCTTAAGTTTAGATATATCAAAGAAACAAAAAGCATAGAGGCGGCTGGGGGTGGTGGCTCACACCTGTAATCCCAGCACTTTGGGAGGCCAAGGCAGGCAGATCACCTGAGGTCGGGAGTTCGAGACCAGCCTGACCAACATGGAGAAACCCTGTCTCTACTAAAAATACAAAATTAGCCAGGCATGGTGGCGTATGCCTGAAATCCCAGCTACTCAGGAGGCTGAGGCAGGAGAATTGCTTGAACCCGGGAGGCAGAGGTTGCAGTGAGCCAAGATCACGCCATTGCACTCTAGCCTGGGCAACAAGAGTGAAACTCCATCTCAAAAAAAAAAAAAAAAAAAAAAGCGTAAAGGCAGTTGAACTAATGGCAGAAGAAGACTGTCAAAGCATTTTTTTTTAACCACTTTATGTCATGGAAAGCTTCGAAATTTCTTAGGCCCAGTTAATTGCTCTACATGAAGAGTTCTTCATTAAACAAATCACTAATTAGAAATACAGGCAAGAGAAAAGAATATATAAAATTTGGCAAGTAATAGCAGGTTAGATTTGCTTAAGGCAGGTGTCTTACCCATTTTCATGGTTGGAACAATCCTTGATTTCTGGGCCTAAAATAACTTTTGAAATAATTTTCTAAGAAAATTATTTGCATCTGGCTGGGTGTGGTGGCTCATGCCTGTAATCCCAGCACTTTGGGAGGCCGAGGCAGGCGGATCACCTGAGGTCAGGAGTTCGAGACCAGCCTGACCAACACGGAGAAACCCCGTCTCTACTAAAAATACAAAATTAGCTGGGTGTGGTGGCGCATGCCTGTAATCCCAGCTACTAGGGGGGCTGAGGCAGGAGAATCGCTTGAACCTGGGAGGCGGAGGTTGCGGTGAGCTGAGATCACGCCATTGCACTCCAGCCTGGGCAACAAGAGTGAAACTCCATCTCAAAAAAAAGAAAAAAGAAAATTATTTGCATCTGAATTAATGGCTGAAGTATTAATTAATGATTGCTGAAGAGAACCCTGAAACTTAGTACTTGGCACATATAACAAAAAGTTGATTTATCCATTGCTTACTGAGGTATCCTTGAGAAGTGATCTTAAGCAGGAGCAGTGACAATGATAGAATTAATAGTGGTCATGAATTACTAGGAAACAAAGTGGCATTGAGCAGAAAAGAAAGAAGCTGTTGCCACAACTTTGGGATATATAAAAATGGATTATATCTTGTGTATTGTGGGATAAAAGAGGGGCTAAAGAAAACTTTGCAGGAGGTCTCTCCCAGTGGCATTTAGGTAGCGCTATGTTTGAGGATCAACCAAAAGCGGTGAGTTATTTCTGTCCTGTTTCCCCATCTAAGAGTTCTTCTTGCAATTATTGGAACATCTTCTTTAAAAAATTTTTTTTCCCTTTTCTTTTTTTACTTTTTCAATTTTTTTAAATAATAGATACGGGGTTTCGCCACGTTCTTCAACTCCTGGGCTCAAGCAATCTGCCCACTGTGGCCTCCCAAAATGATGGAATTACAGGCGTGAGCCACCGCGCCTGGCTGGAACATTTTCTTTACATACACTGGCTTTTCTCCCCTTCAAATCATCAGAAAATGGGATAATTTTTAGAAATCAGGTTTAAGCACTACTTTCAGATAAGCATTTCATAGTTACAACAGTTACCTCAAAATAGAAGTATGAAGAGCAAGTGAGAAATCTGGTTTCATTGTTACACTAGGCAGTTCCCTATAGAAACTTTGCGGGGGTTAATAGTCCTGAGGAAGATTTTAGTTACAATGTATTCCAATCCCATCGATCTGATCTGAGCAAAGCTGACAAATGAAGCTGGTCAAAAATAAAGGGAGATTACTCAGGATGGAGTCAGTCTTAAACAAACTTGTTTCTAACGGCCCATGGTAGGCATGACAACAGCAGGTGAGGAAAGAGTAGCATCTTCTTCTTTCCACTGAGAAGTAATGGTCTTTAACTGAGTGTAGAATTGGATGCCCTAAGGAAAACAGAAAAAAAGTTAGCATATATTTCTGGGGTTTCATGATTCTTCTTTTAATTAGCTTTTGAAGGAGGTATTATAAAGTGCTACTCACTTTCCTAATTGAGAAATGCAATCAGAATCCAATATATATTGTTCCTAAGATAATTGATCTAAAACATTTAACATAATACCTGGCAGATAGTAAACAATCAAACCTTAGCCATCATTATTATGCTGAAACTAGTATTTCTTTCTTTTTTGTTTGAGATGGAGTCTTGCTCTGTCACTTAGGCTGGAGTGCAGTGGCATGATCTCAGCTCACTGCAACCTCTGCCTCCCGGGTTCAAGCAGCTCTCCTGCCTCAGCCTCTCGAGTAGCTGGGATTACAGGCACCTGCTACCACGCCTGGCTAATTTTTGTATTTTTAGTGGAGATGGGGTTTCACCATGTTGGCCAGGCTGGTCTCGAACTCCCGGCCTCAAGTGATCCGCCTTCCTCGGCCTCTCAAAGTGCTGGAATTACAAGTGTGAGCCACCGTGCCCCCAGCTATTATATAGTAGGCCATTTATTTATTTATTTATTTATTTTGAGACAGAGTCTTGCTCTGTTGCCCAGGCTGGAGTGCAGTGGTGTGATCTTGGCTCACTGCAACCTCTGCCTCCCAGGTTCATGTGATTCTCCTGCCTCAGCCTTCTGAATAGCTGGGATTACAAGTGTGTGCCACCATGCCCAGCTATTTTTGTATTTTTAGTAGAGAAGGGCTAATTTCAGATTAGCCCATGTTGGCTAGCACCATGTTGGCCAAGCTGGTCTTGAACCCCTGACCTCAGGTGATCCGCCAGTCTTGGTCTCCCAAAGTTCTGGGATCACAGGCATGAGCCACTGTACCCAGCGGCCATTTCTGATAATTATCAGAGATCATGAGCTCTATATTGAAGTGGCAAACCCAAAGTATCTTAGAAATCTAAAGTAAAATGTCTGACATTATACAAATTCACTTCTCAATTACCTATAACATGTGAGCCCAAAAATTCAGCATATTTAACTCTCTCTATATATAGATATAGTTTATAAGAGTAGGCTTGAGCAAAAGAGAATACATTGTGCAGATCTAACACTTATATAATTACTAGCAAGCTAGAATGACATTTTACCAGATTACCAGAGTAATTTATAATAATTAAACTGGGGGGTGCAGCCAGGAGCGGTGGCTCACACTTGTAATATCAGCACTTTGGGAGGCTGAGGTAGGCGGATCACTTGAGGCCATGAGCTCAAGACCAGCCTGGCCCAACATGGCGAAACCTCGTCTCTACTGGGAAAAAAAAAAAAAAAAAAAAAAAAAAAAAGCTGGGCGTGGTGGAGCCTGAGGCAGAATTGCTTGAACCTGGGAGGTGGAGGTTGCAAGTGAGCCGAGAATGCACCATTGCACTCCAGCCTGGGCAACAGAGCAAAACTCCCATCTCAAAAAAATAAATAAATGGAGAGGGTGGGCAGGGAACAATTTTTAAACAATAGTTGTACTCTGTTTTGCTTAAAAGAAATGTTACTAGTATCAAATTAGTCATTTTTACAAAAGCTGTGACTAGGCCGGGTGCGGTGACTCACTCCTGTAATCCCAGCACTTTGGGAGGCCGAGGCAGGCAGATCACCTGAGGTAAGGAGGTCGAGACCAGCCTGGCCAACATGGCGAAACCCCGTCTCTACTACAAATACAAAAATTGGCGGGTGTGGTGGCACGTGCCTGTAATCCCAGCTACTCGGGAGGCATAGATACGAGAATTGCTTGAACCCTGGAGGCTGAGGTTGCAGTGAGCCAAGATCATGCCACTATACTCCAGCCTGGGTGACAGAGAAAGATTCCATCAAAAAAACCCCAAAACAAAAAACCAAAAGCTGTGACTAATATACAAACTATATAATCAACCTCCAAATACCAAAGTGTTGACTTCTTAACCATTTGGCCACACTGTCATAATGCTATGCAATCCCATTGTTAATTTTTTAATAACCCAAACATAAATAAAATAAAAAAGCCCCACATCCCTCGCCCTGTGGCAGCACATAGCTGGCACAGAAAAAAAAAATCAACCTATAAAAGGGGAGACTTGTATAACAAAACATGTAATTTATTAATGAAGGTTTCAAAATGGCTCTAGTCCTATGACTAGAAAGAACTTCCCCTAGCCTATTTGTTCAACAAATGTTTGGGCAGCCTGCTCTGTTCCAGGTACTGCAGATAAGTAGATAACAACTACAGTCTGATGAGGGCTTCTTTAAATGGCTTAAAGAGCCCTACATGACTCAACCCCTGCCTGCCTCTCTAACTTCATTTCTTCCTTTTCTTCTCATTTGCTCACTGTGCCCCAGCCCATTTCCGCTGTCTGAATGTGCCATGCTTCTTCCTGCCTCGGGACATATGCACCTGTTGGCCGATGTGGCAATAGTAATAATTCTTCTTTTTTTTTTTTTTGAGATGGAGTCTTGCTCTGTTGCCCAGGCTGGAGTCCAGTGGTGCAATCTCGGCTCACTGCAACTTCCGCCTCCCAGATTCAAAGGATTCTTCTGCCTCAGCCTCCCGAGTAGCTGGGATTATAGGCACCTGCCACCACACCTGGCTAATTGTTTTATTTTTAGTAGAGGGGGTTTTGCCATGTTGGCCAGATTGGTCTCAAACTCCTGACTTCAGGTGATCTGCCTGCCTCAGCCTCCCAAAGTGCTGGGATTACAGGCGTAAGCCACTGCACCTGGCCAATAGTGATAATTCAGTCCTTACAATGTTATGAAATACATAGGTACTATTGTTATTCATTTTATACGTGAATAAATTTAAGGCATAAAGAAGGTATCCTGGTTGGCTGTGGTGGCTCATGCCTGTAATCCCAGCACTTTAGGAGGCTGAGGCAGGCGGATCACCTGAGGTCAGGAATTCGAGACCAGCCTGGCCAAAATGGTGAAACCCTATCTCCACTAAAAATACAAAAATTAGCCAAGTGTGGTGGTGGGCATCTGTAATCCCAGCTACTTGGGAGGCTGAGGCAGGAGAATTGCTTGAACCTGGGAGGCGGAGGTTGCAGTGAGCCAAGATTGTGCCACCGCACCCCAGCCTGTGCGACAGAGTGAGACTCTGTCTCAAAAAAAAAAAAAAAATTAATGGTATCCCCCAAAGTCAGACAGCTAATAACTGGCTTAGCTGGGATTTGAACACAGGCAATTTGGTTCCAGATCTGCTTTACTTTTCTTGTTCAGTGCTGTATTCATAGTGCCTAAAATAATGTCTGCTACAGACCGGGCAGAGTGGCTCACACCTGTAATCCCAGTGCTTTGGGAGGCTGAGGTGGGTGGATCACAAGGTCAGGAGTTCAAGACCAGCCTGGCCAACATGGTGAAACCCTGTCTCTACTAAAAAACAAAAAATTATCCAGGCATGGTGGCAGGCACCTGTAGTCCCAGCTATTCGGGAGGCTGAGGCAGGAGAAGTGCTTGAACCCAGGAGGCGGAGGTTGCAGTGAGCTAAGACCATGCCACAGCACTCCAGCCTGGGCAACAGAGCGAGACTGTGTCTCAAAAAAAAAAAAAATAATAATAATAATAGTAATAATAATGTCTGCTACAAAGAACGTGCTCAACAACATTTTTTGTAAATGAATAACTATTACAGAAAAAATACGTGCAATGGGAACACACTGGGGTCACACTACCCAGCACTGAGGGAGGGGTGGTGGTAGTTGGAGGAGATTTTCTGGAGGAGCTCATTTTTTAAAGTGAGACATGACAGATGATTAGGAGTTAGTCAGATGAAAGGGGAGAGATGGGGAAGAGGGTCACACACTCAGGAAATGGCATATACAAAGGCTTAGACTTCCCCATGCTCTTTCCTCAAAACTTTGTTGCTTTGAATTATTCAGGAAGAAGCAGCTTTGGCAAAATTTTGTTAACTTTTAAATCTTTTTTAGGGAACCTTCTGAGAAGCACTGATTATGACCTCACAGATGCTGCTGGCAGTCCCTTCCTTGCAGAATCCTTGCTCCTGAATATCTTTAAGAAAATTTCTTAAAGGAAAAGACAAAAAATTTAACTCAAAAGTTACCTGTTTGCCATAGAAATTGGTGTCTCCCCTGAAGGAGGATCGAGAGCCGGTGAATGAGAACATTGGCAAAGGCACTGGAATGGGGACATTCACTCCCACCTAAAACAGAACAAATCCGTGTCATATCCTAAGGACAAAGGAACTCTCCATTTAGAAACACAAAGGCATCAGAGACCAGTTTTAAATACCCACCTTCTACCCTATCCTCTACCCCATGAACTTTCATTCCTGAGGAAGAAATGGGGCAATGTGGGAGGTCATGGGGGCAATCTTAAACCAATGACTCACCATTATTTACTGTTTCCTCTTAGGAAATAGTAAATGGATATAAGAATCTCTTAAAAATTCTGTTCACGAACCTGTCCAACATCCACCAAGTGGGCATATTTCCGAGCAGTGGCTCCATTGGTGGTGAAGATGGCAGTTCCATTTCCATATGGGTTGTTATTTACAATCTGGATGGCTTCATCCAATGTTTCTGTCTCCAGAACCACAAGAACTGGACCAAAAATCTCCTCTTTGTAACAGGTCATATTTGGCTGCCAGGAGTGATGCATCCAGAAAAGAAGTCAGCTTTTTGGATTCTGAGTATTTTATGCTTATTTGGTACTTTCACTTACTACACATCATTTACGTGGACAACTTTCATATTACTAATCTCTTTTCATTTCAAATCACCTATTTAAAAAAAAAGTCCTCTCTCAAGTGTATTCCGTCTTCCAAGTTACCAATCATATAAACAACTTGGAATTCCTATCAACAATAACCACACTTCCTTTAAGGGACTGTATCTTTAGTTCATGACCCATCATCAGCTGCCTTTTTAATACCTGAACGACTAGTTTCATCCAATTGTTATCAAAAAGTTACATGAAAATTTATTTTTTATAAATCCAATCTATAGTAAATATACCAGGATAATTTTTCTCTTTACAGAAACCCCATGCTGTTTTCTGTAACATAAATAATCCATTCTTATTCACTCCTTTGCCTCCCAAATATGTCTGTATGTTTATATTTTGATATCAGGTCGCAGACACTCAAAACATCCTTCACCATGCAATTAATGTTTGTTGCTGATAAACGGATTTTTCTGTATGGTTCTGTGGCAAGAGATTTCATAATTTCTACTGCACTTACATTCAACACTTGATGATTCACTATTATAGTAAGGATATATGAATTTCAAAAAATGCCTCATAACCTCAATTTTTAAGTCATGTTAGCTGAGAGACTTTCAAAGTTTTGATAAATAAAAATTGACAAGTCAATTATTTTTGTCACTTTCAATAAATATTGGGTGGTTGATATATTGATTGAGACACTGCAGTAGCCATAAGCTAGGCAGCAAGAGGGAGAGGGGAGAGAAAACATTAACAAACCAGTATAAGATAAGATAGCGTTTGGCAAACTATAGCCTGTGGGCCAAATGTGGCTTCCTGCCTGTTTTTGTACAGCCCCAAGTTAAAAATGGTTTTTGCATTTTTAAATGGTTGAAAAAAAATTAATCATATATAAAATGATATGAAATTCAAATATCAGTGTCCATAAATAACATTTTTTTTGGAACACAGCCACACAATGTTTATAGCTGATCTCACACTACAATGTCAGAGTTTAGTTGCAACAGACACTATATCCCTGCAAAGCTGGAAATATCTATCCCTTTATGGAAAGTCTGCAGACTGCTGGTATAGTGGAAAGAGTTTGGTTGGGAGTTAGAAGGAGAGGCTCATTCAGACTCCAGATAAAATAATTGATCAATCCTGGCAAGAGATAAGGTCTTAGTCATTAAGTATTTTCATTAATAAATTAGAGGGATGAGATTCTATAGCCTTTAAGGTGCCTTCAGCTCTCATATTTGTGAAGTGAAAGTTGTTCACCTTGACATTCGAGATGATGGTTGGTCCAACAAAGTTGCCATTTTCATAGCCTTTCACTTTAATTTTTCGTCCATCAAGAAGGATGGAAGCTCCCTCCTTTGTTCCACTATCAATCAGATTACAGACTCGCTCTTTGGCCTGGGGAGTGATCAGAGGGCCAAGATCAGCTCCAGGCTGATCTCCTGTAAAACAACACAGAAGAATTTAAGGTCCTCATTAACATAAATTATGACTGCTGCCAGGGCTCATGCCTGTAATCCCAAAGCTTTAGGAGGCCAAGGCAGGAGGACTGCTTGAGCCCAGGAGTTCCAGACCAGCCTGGGCAACAAAGTGAGACTTCATATTTACAAAAAATAAAAAAATTAGCCAGGTGGTGGCCCGCACCTGTGGTCCAAGCTGCTCAGGAGGCTGAGGCAGGAGGATCACTTGAGCCCAACAGTTTGAGGCTGCCATGAGCTAGGATGGTGCCACTGCACTCCAGCTTGGGTAACAGACAGCCTGTGCTTTAAAAAAAAAGACTGCTAACAAGATGACTCCAAATGACAAGTACAGTATAAAGAGAGGAAATGGCAAGAATAGACATGATTGTTCCCACTGGCCAAGGCCAGTGACAGAACCCAAGAGCTTAATGCCACAGATGCAAAATCTAAGGGGGCAAGTCAGGTGATTGATTACCTGCATTGACTCTCAGGTTTTTGGCATGCTCCACCAGCTCTGGCAGCCACTTCTTGGCTTCTCCCACAAGGACTGCTGTTGAAAGAGCCATGCAGCGCTGACCAGCAGCTCCAAATGCTGCCCCAACCAGCTGGTTCAGGGTATTTTCCTTATTGGCATCTGGCATGACTACCCCATGGTTCTTGGCTCCCTAAAAAAAAATGCAGAAAGCACATGAGTCTTCCTTGGCCAAATACAACTAAGCTAAGAAATTAAGCAGTGGACCAGGTGTGGTGGCTAATGCCTGTAATCCCAGCACTTTGGAAGGCTGAGGTGAGAAGGATAACTTGAGGTCAGGAGTTCAAGACCAGCCTAGGCAACATAGTGAAACACCATCTCTACAAAAAATACAAAAAATTAGCCAGGCATAATGGCACCAGTCTGTGGTCCCAGCTACTTGGGAAGCTGAGGTAGGGGGACCACTTGATCCTGGGAGGCGGAGGTTGCAGTGAGCCAAGATCACACCATTGTACTCCAGACTGGGTGACAGAGTGAGACCCCTGTCTCAAAACAAACAAACAAACAAAAAACAGGAATTTGTTGTCTGCTGGGTTTTTTAGTTATATGAAGAGCAATGTTAAAAAAAAAAAAAAAAAGAACTTACAGCCTTACAGCAATAATGCCAGTAACCAGCTGAAAGGCAAAACAGAAAGTAGACCTCTTGATGTAGAATTTCAAGAAAGAGGCCAGGCATGGTGGCTCATGCCTGTAATCCCAGCACTTTGGGAGGCTGAGGTGGGTGGATCACTTGAGGTCAGGAGTTCAAGACCAGCTTGGCCAAGAAACCCTGTCTCTACTTAAAATACAAAAATTAGCTGGGTGTGGTGGTAGGCACCTGTAATCCCAGCTACTCAGGAGGCTGAGGCATGAGAATTGTTAGAACCTGGGAGGTGGAGGTTGCAGTGAGCTGAGATGGCACCACTGCACTCTAGCCTGGGTGACAGAGTAAGACTCTGTCTCAAAAAAAAAGAAAAAAAGTGATTAACGTGACTTAGAATGAAACTCCTCAAAAGGTTCATGATTAAAGAGAAGACATTCAGGAGGATATGGTAAGGCTTACGCCTGTAATCCCAGCACTTTGGGAGGCCGAGGCGGGCAGATCATGAGGTCAGGAGATCGAAACCATCCTGGCCAACATGGTGAAACCCTGTCTCTACTGAAAAAAAATAGAAAAATTAGCCGGGCGCTGTGGCATGTGCTTGTATTCCCAGCTACTCGGGAGGCTGAGGCAGGAGAATCGCTTGAACCCGGGAGGCAGAGGTTGCAGTGAGCCGAGATCATGCCACTGCACTCCAGCTTGGTGACAGAGAGACTCTGTCTCAAAAAAAAGAAAGAAACACTGACATTGGAGTGGGATGAGTGGCCTCTCTGCTGAAGGTCTGTTCCTAGGTAATTTTCATATATAGAACAAAGATTGGAGAAAAAAGGAATAAGAAGTCACCATATTGGCTTGAACCCTCTTGCCATGTCTTGATCCTCTCTCGAAGATATACTCTCCTGCCTTGTTGGATCCCACAAAGCTGATTGCTTTGATGTCCGGATGATCGCAAATAAAATTTACAGCTTTAAGAAGAAAATAAATGATCACTCACAAAGGAGCAAATGGATTCTCAACATGGCAAATTTCCCCTTTCCCCACTGCTATGGATTTGAAGTTTTCCTGTGTTTTTCTTTTACTTTTTCTTTTTTTTTTTTTTTTTTTTTGAGACGGAGTCTCGCTCTGTTGCCCAGGCTGGAGTGCAGTGGCACAATTTCGGCTCACTGCAACCTCCGCCTCCCAGGTTCAAGCAATTCTCTGCCTCAGCCTCCCAAGCAGCTGGGATTATAGGCACCCACCACCATGCCTGCCTAATTTTTGTATTTTTAGTAGACACGGGGTTTCACAATCTTGGCCAGGCTGGTCTTGAACTCCTGACCTCGTGATCCACTCGCCTTGGCCTCCCAAAATGCTGGGATTACAGGTGTGAGCCACTGCATCAGGCCTGTGTTTTTCTGTACTGGATTCTCATTGTGAAGTTCTCTCCTTGTTTCTTTTAAATTCTATTTAGCCGGCTGGACACGGTGGCGCATGCCTGTAATTCCAGCACTTTGGGAGGCCGAGGCAGGTGGATCACCTGAGGTCAGGAGTTCGAGACCTTCCTAGCCAATATGGTGAAACCCTGTCTCTACTAAAAATACAAAAAAATTAGCCAAATGTGGTGGTGGGCACCTGTAATCCCAGCTACTTGGGAGTCTGAGGCAGGAGAATTGCTTGAACCCGGGAGGCAGAGGTTGCAGCGAGCCGAGATTGTGCCATTGCGCCTCAGCCTGGGCAACAAGAGCAAAACTCCATCTCAAAACAATAAAAAATATAAAAATAAATTCTATTTAGTCTCTTTCCTTTCATGATTTTTCTCATTTGCTATTCCAGAATTTCTACTTCTAATCTAACCTTTTTTTTTTTTTTTTTTTGAGACAGGGTCTCACTGTTTCACCTAGGCTAGAGTACAGTGGTACAGTCTTGGCTCACTGCAACCTCTGTTTGCCAGGCTCAAGCTGTCTTCCCACCTCATGGGACTACCTGCACATGCCACCATTCCTGGCTAATTTTTGTATTTTTTTTGTAGAGACGGGGGTTTCGCCACATGGCCCAGGCTGGTCTCGAACTCCTGGGCTCAAGTGATCCGCCTGCCTTCACCTCCCAAAGTGCTGGGATCACAGGTATGTGCCACTGCACCCAGCCTTAATCTAACTTTGAAGGCTGCAACTCCTATTTTCCTCCAAAATAACAGCCTTTGAATACTGAACCCTTCTTTTTTGTCCTTTAAGAATAACAATAGGCAAGGCACAGTGGCTCACACCTGTAATCCCAGCACTTTGGGAGGCCGAGGCGGGTGGATCACCTGAGGTCAGGAGTTTGAGACTAGCCTGGCCAACATGGTGAAACCCCATCTGTACTAAAAATAACAAAATTAGTGGGGCACGGTGGCGCATGCCTGTAATCCCAGCTATTTAAGAGGCAGAGGCAGGAAAATTGCTTGAACCTGGGAGGCAGCGGGTAGAGTGAGCCGAGATCGCACCACTGCTCTCCAGTCTGGGCGACAGAGGGAGACTCCATCTCAAAAAAAAGAATAACAATATTTCCTCAATGGTGACTATGTACTGGGACACTCAGACACTATTGTGTTCTCATGTAAGAGGTAATATAGTGTAGTTTTTAAAAGCAAAAATCAGAGTCAGCCTTCCTGGATGGGTATACACATCCTGGCTTTTTCTAGCACTGTGACTTTGGGCTAATTAATTTCACTATGTCTCATTTTTCTCTTCTGCAAAATGGAAAAATAATACCTACCTCAAAGGGTGATTATAAAGATTAATAGATAAAAAGCACTAGGAACGGTGCCTGAAACACAGAAGCACTATTTAAGTATTAGCTATTATTACATGAATTAGAAGGCCTTCAGTATCTCTGAGATCTGCAAATTCTCTGAATTAAATACCCTCATGTATTCTCTTCACACTGAAGAAAAAAGTTTCTTTTTAATCTTATCTGTGTCTAGCCCTAATCCATATTTCTAGTGTCCCAATATATACTGTAGGGCAACAAGCACTGCTATTCCCCAATCAGTTACCTTGGCGCACAAAGATGGCAAAATCATCAACAAACATGGAGGTTAAAATGAGTAAATCCTTTCCTCCTTACAAGTAGGTTCCTTATCCTAAAACATCCAACCATCACTCAACACCTTGATTTTTTGGTAGCCAGATTAAGTAGCCATATGCATAAGGGCAGTTACCTTCATGCTGTCCATGGATGATGTTTAATGTTCCATCAGGGGCACCAGAATCCTGGAGCAACTTAGCAAGAAGCATAGTTGCTCCAGGGACTCGCTCAGATGGTTTCATTAGGAAGGTATTTCCACACACCATGGCCATGGGAAACATCCAAAGGGGGATCATGGCAGGAAAATTGAATGGAGCAATGCCTGCACACACTCCCAGAGGCAGACGGTAGGAATAAAGGTCCATGTCTTTGGTGATGGATGGCATGGTCTCTCCCATCATGAGGGATGTCACACTACAGGCATGCTCAACCACCTCTGGAACACAGAAGTCAGGCCATCAGCTCTCCACACTGTGTACTAGTTAGCTTTGTCCTGTTCTCTTCAGCCCTGAGGACAGGAAGTGGTTCAGGCCAATGAAGGGGTGCAGGGTACACTGACTTGCCCTTCCAAGTTAAGGGTTTGTGCAAAATGAGATTCTCTGAATGGGAAAAATACAGCGATATGTATATACCCACTGGAAGATCATTTGAGTAAAGAGTAAAGTAAATCAGTCTTAGGGATACTGAATACTGCCATTTTTCACAAGTATTAAAAAAGATATCATGGGATGGCAAAATCTATGTAAAGGAAGAAGCAACCTCCCATTCTGCGATCTTTGCCTCCCATCTTCCTTTGGTCCTTCCCAAAAGTCCCATAAGGGGCTCCCAGCTTACGAAGGCCTCGAAATACATCTCCTTCAGCATCAGCTAGGGTCTTCCCTTGTTCCAATGTGATTAACTTGGCAATTTCTTTCTAGAGAGAAGACACACAAATAGAAATTAATGCAAGAATGTTCCTCTTTTAAATTCTGAGGTAGCAAAGGAAGAATAAGACTGGAGGAGATGCAGTACAAGGGAGAGAGTCATGATCAACGTCTCTGCATACTGCAGAGTAAGGGAGGGTGGCTGAAAAGGTCTCTGTGAGAGTGACAAACATGCCCTAGGTGACAGTTTGGAAAAGCATACCATTTAGATTTCATACCAAGTTTTCTTTAATAAGTTGTTGATAGCGGAGCAAGACCTGCTGGCGGCTTAATACTGAAGTGTCTGCCCATGCAGGAAAAGCACGTTTGCAGGAAGCAATGGCTGCATCCATTTCTGCCTTGGTGGCCTGAGGGACCCGACCAATGACCTCATTGGTGGCCTGATGAGAAAAATAAGCACATGATCCTTTGCCTGACTCACCTTCTCCACTGTACATCCAGTCACAGAAGTGGCACTATGTGCTTTACAACAGACACCCAGGTCCCTTCTTGCCCATCATGTCCCTAGAATTCTAGGCTCATAAGTTGAAGTCCCAAAGCAGCTTCGCTTACTGGGTTGTGGATATCGATCCATTTGTCACTTTTGGATTCAACGAATTTCCCACCAATGAAGAGCTTTACAGTTGGCTGAAAAAAACAAACAAACAAACAAACAAACAAAAACATGAAACTTTGTATTAGCTAATTGCTTTGCTTTTCCCTTTCCCTTGCACCAAAAGGAAAGAAAACAAGTTGATAACGGAATCTTCTGGTCTTTAGAAATGTTACCACTAGGAAAGAGACACATAATATCCCTATCTATTCTGTGTGTGTGTGTTTATTTTTTTTTTGAGACAGAGTTTCGCTCTTGTCCCCCAGTCTGGAGCACACAGTGGTATGATCTCGGCTCACTGCAACCTCTGATTCCCGGGTTCGAGCAATTCTCTTGCCTCAGCCCTTCGAGTAGCTGAGATTACAGACACCCGCCACAACACCCAACTAATTTTTGTATTTTGAGTAGAGATGGGGTTTCACCATGTCGGCCAGACTGATCTCGAACTCCTGACCTCAGGTGATCCACCCACCTCGGCCTCCCAAAGTGCTAGGATTACAGGCGTGAGCCTCTGCACCTGGCCCTTATTTTTTATTTTTTATTTTTTTGAGACATGGTCTCACTCTGTTGCCCAGGCTGGAGTGTAGTGTGATCATGACTCACTGCAGCCTCAACCCCCAGGGCTTAGGTGATTCTCCCACCTCAGCCTCCTGAGCAGCTGGGACTACAGGCACATGCTACCATGCCCAGCTAATTTTTTTGTACTTTTGATAGAGACGGGGTTTGGCCATATTGCCTGGCTGGTCTCGAACTCCTGGGCTCAAGTGATCCACCTGCGTCAGGCTCTCAAAGTGCTGGGATTACAGGCGTGAGTCATCGTGCCCAGACTATAGTATATATTAAGATGTGGCACAGCCTCTCAATACTGTGATCTCTCTGAGAATGGGAAATTCCCTGCTATTCACACAGTGGAACTTCATGAGTAGAAACACGATATTATGAAGCTTATACTAAAAAAGCAGCAACTCTGTTAATAAAGATTAGCTATTATGACTTTTTGGCCCAGCTGACTGTTACATTACTGTGAGCATGTATTACCTTTATGATCAAAAGATTTTTGGCTGGGCAAATGGCTCACGCCTGTAATCCCAGCACTTTGGGAGGCCGAGGCAGGTGGATCAGTTGAAGTCAGGAGTTCTAGACCAACCATGGACAACATGGTGAAACCTTGTCTCTACTAAAAACACAAAAATCAACTGGTTTTGGTGGCATGCGACTGTAATCCTAGCTATTCGGGAGGTTGAGGCAGGAGAATCACTTGAACCTGGGAGGTGGAGGTTGCAGTGAGCTGAGATCACGCCACTGCATTCCAGCCTGGGTGACAGAGTAAGACTCCATCTCAAAAAAAAAAAAAAAAAGATTTTGAAAATGTTTCTATGTATTTTTTTCTGAGATATAGCTCACTTTAACTAATTTTTTTTTTTTTTAACATAGAGTCTACTTTGTCACCCAGGTTGGAGTGCAGTGGCACAATCTTGGCTTACTGCAACCTCTGCCTCCCAGGCTCAAGCAGTCCCTCTACCTCACCCTCCCAGGCAGCTGGGACCATAGGTACGCACCACCACGCCTGGCTAATTTTTTGTAGAGATGGGGTTTCACCATGTCTCCCAGGCTGGTCTCGAACTTTTGAACTCTGACAATCCACCTGCCTCAGCCTCCCAAAGTGCTGGGATTACAGGGGTGAGCCACTGCGCCCGGCCCCTTTCACTAAATTTTTTTTTTTTTTTTTGAAACGGAGTCTCGCTCTGTCATCAGGCTGGAGTGCAATGGTGCGATCTTGGCTCACTGCAACCTCCGCCTCCCGAATTCAAGCGATTCTCCTGCCTCAGCCCGCAGAGTAGCTGGGACTACAGGTGCGTGCCACCATGCCCAGCTAAGTTTTGTATTTTTAGTAGAGATGTGGTTTCCCCATGTTGGCCAGGATGGTCTCGATCTCTTGACCTCGTGATCCACCTGCCTCAGCCTCCCAAAGTGCTGGGACACTAAATTTTTAAAGCGGTCTATGAACCAAAAAATGGTGACCTACTGTGGTACAGTGTGTGCATACTTCTGTGTAGAAAGAATTTGAGCAATAGTCCTTATTTATTAGATTTTAGATGCTGGAAGTGGTTGACAGACAGATGATCTGTAAAAACCACTCTAAAGGTCATTAAGAAGAAGACAACTATCTGGCAGGGTCAGCAGAACCTCTAGAAGCCATGAAAATGTTTGTATCTTTTGACATGGTAATCCATTTCAGGAGGGAAATAATCCAAAAGGAGGAAAAAACTAGAAAGTTTCACATACACTCTGATGACAATTATGTAAAGAAGATAGAGATACCCAAAACTATACTGAATTCCTTCTCAGAAGTCAACCTCTATGCCAAATAAACTCACCACTGAAGAAGAGAAGGAAGATGCTGAATACCAGGTGGGACTGGATTTCACCTTGGAAGAAACCTGTGAGGCAAAAGAACGATTATTTTGATAAATGAGAGCAGAAAGTTATTTAAAATTTAGCAAATAGCTACTATATGCTATTTGCTATAGTATATAGGGGGTATGTTTCTCTCAAAGGCCATACAGTCATTAAAGAGAAAAGATATGAATCTATGACACAGCAAACTATGAACAAACAATAAACCATAATAATCATGTCCTATATTTCCAGGATAGTACTGATTAAAAAAAATCTTTTTGTCATTATATTTTCCTAATTTGGGCCTGGCAAATGTACCATAAATCTAACAATATGAAAATACTTAGCATGGTATCTAACACAATAGGTACTGAATTTAAGATCATATAAAATCAATGTGCTGGGCATGGTGACTCACGCCTGTAATCTCAGCACTTTGGGAAGCTGAGACGGGTATATCACTTGAGTCTAGGAGTTTTGAGACCACCCTGGGCAACATGGCAAAACCTTGTCTACAAAAAATTAAAAAATTAGCCAGGCAGTGGTGGCACATGCCTGTGGTCCCAGCTACTAGGGAGGCCAAGGTGGGAGGATTGCTTCAGCCCGGGAGGGTGAGGCTGCAGTGAACCGTGATTATGCCACTGCACTCCAGCCAGGAAGAGAGAGGGAGACCTTGTCTCAAAAAAAAAAATCAATGTAAATATAAATATAAGTAATAGAGTATATAATCAATGTAAATATAAATCAAAATTTATTACCAAATGCAATTAAAATTATGTCCATATAGGTATTTGAAAAATGAATGTTCATAAGAACTTTATTTGTAGTAGCCCAAAACTTGGAAACAACCCAATGTCTACCATTGGATGGGTGAATAAGGAAACTAATGTGGTATATTCATACACTGGAATACTACTCAGCAAAAAAAGGAATGACCTGCTGATACATGCAATATAAATAGTCATAATAATTATGGCAAGAGACAGAAGTTAGATAATAAAAGTACATACTGTATGATTCTACTTATGTAACACTAGAGAATGCAAACAAATCTGTAATATCAGAAAGCAGAACAGTGGTTACCTAGGGATGACGAGGGAAACTTTTTGGGGTGATGGACATATGTTCATTATGTTGATTGTGATGCTATTTTCACAGGTGTATACAAATGTTAAAACTCATCAAACTGCATACTTTAAATATGTACAGATTGTTTTGTGTCAATTTTATTTTAATAAAGCTATATTGAAATGCCATAGGTACATTAAAGGAAAAAATGTGTTGGATAGATAATATTTGATGGAGTAAAATCAGTAAACGGGGAGGATCAGTTTCAACAAGATAACTCTCAAATTGTAACTCACTAAAAAAGTCTGTATATATGTTATCAAAGTTGATTTTTTGAGATGGAGTCTCACTCTGTCGCCCAGGCTGGAGTGCAGTGGCATGATCTCGGCTCACTGCAACCTCTGCCTCCCGTGTTCAAGCGATTCTCCTGCCTCAGCCTGCCAAGTAGCTCAGATTATAGGTGTCTGCCACCACGCCCAGCTAATTTTCTTTTTATTTATTTATTTTTTGAGACAGAATTTTGCTCTCATTGACCAGGCTGGAGTACAGTGGCATGACCTTGGCTCACTGCAACCTCCACCTCCTGGGTTCAAGCTTTTCTCCTGCCTCAGCCTCCTGAGTAGCTGAGATTACAGACACCCGCCACCATGCCTGGCTAATTTTATTTTATTTTTTTTGTATTTTTAGTAGAGATGGGGTTTCACCATGTTGGCCTGGCTGGTCTCAAACTCCTGACCTCAGGTGATCCACCCGCCTCAGCCTCCCAGAGTGCTGGGATTACAGGTGTAAGCCACTGCACCCAGCCTATATATATGTTATCAAAGTTGATTTAAGAAATACTTAAGCCAATCAAAATGAGCAAACTAAAATACTCAGGACTGGGATATAAAGGAAAGCTGCAATCTAATAATCTTTTATCTTGCCTGAAAAGGGACTCTGTTAACCAGAGTATAGAGCTGCATGAAGGGTGCCTGCAGCACTGCCCAGGAAAAGGTGGTGGTCCTTTGGTCCAGCAGATAGTCCTTCCAAATACCTCATCTGTTTGCTCTTCTATTCCCTACCAAAGCCATTTCAAACCACTGACACTCTCCTGGAGCCCATCATGTCTTATTTATAGCTATGTTCCCAATACCAATATAGTACTCGGTAGGTAGTAGGTGTTCAGTAAATATCTGCTGAATAAAATAGAAGCCCATTCCTGTCTGCTTCCTACCCCAAACTAGGTTAAGAGGCCCTTTTTTGTCCTCTGAAAGCAGCCAATACTTCCCGTTTCAGGCTTATCTCTCTGTGTTGTAATTGTTTGGTATCTTATTCCGTTTTGTGTTGCTATAACAAAATACCTGAGACTGGGCAATTTATAAGGAAAAGTAGTTTATTTAGTTCATGATTCTGCAGGCTGGGAAGTTCAAGGGAATGGCTCTAGCTTCTGGCGAGGGCTTCTGTCCTGTGTCATAATATAACAGAGAAGATCAAAGGGGAAGCAGACCTGTGTGAAGAGGCAAAACTGGGGGGGTATCCTGGCTTTATAGCCCACTCACACAGGAACTAATCCATTCCCATGGGAACTAATCCAGTCTCAAAAGAGCAAGAATTCACTCACTACAGCACAAAGCCATTCATGAGGGATCCACCCCCATGACCCAAACACCTCCCACTAGGTCCCAACACTATCACATTGGAGATTAAATTTCAACATGAGTTTTGGTGGAGACAAACCAACCATATCCAAGCCACAGCACCTGGGTACTTATCTGTTACCCATAAAGACTGTCAGTTTCAGGAGGGTTGACACTGCATCTGTCTTGTTCACCTACTTCAGAGTTAAAGATTAAACCTGATCAGGACTGTCCAGTTATAGAAAAGTAGTTAGCACAAAGCTGGTACTCATTAAATCTTATTGTTATGTCATTGTAAATAACGGCACGGTGATTTCTGCCTGTAGTCCCAACTACTCGGGAAGCTGAGGCAGGAGGATCTCTTGAGCCCAGTTCAAGACCAGCTTGGGGAACATAACGAGACTCCATTTCTATAAATAATAAACACTTATTGTTTATTTTCACTCTTTGCTATTCCACAACTTTATCTTAAAACTCCCAATTCTACTAATTCCTCTTGTACTTTCAGGAGCTGACTTTGTTTTTCTTACTTCAGAGCACACAGAAACCATCAGATGAGAACTTCTCAACTTCCTACTAGCAAACCTACAAAACTGAACTCAACCTAATGGAGAAGGTAGCCAGCAAGCTCCATGCAGGAAAAGTGACCGAGACAGTGGTGCACGATCAATATATGTGGACTGGATGAAGAGGTATATACTTTTTTTTTTTGAGATAGGGTCTCGTCCTGTCTCCTAGGCTGGAATGCAGTGGCATGATCATAGCTCACTGCAGCCTCCATCTCCTGGGCTCAAGCCATCTTCCTGCCTCAGCCTCCCAAATAGCTGAGACCACAGGCACATACCACCACACCCAGCTAATTTGCTTTTATTATTTTATTTTTTTGAGACAGAGTCTCACTCTGTCACCCAGGCTGGAGTGCAGTGGTGCAATCTTGGCTCACTGCAACCTCCACCTCCCGGGTTCAAGTGATTCTCCTGCCTCAGCTTTCTGAGTAGCTGGGATTACAGGCATGTGCCACCACATCCAGCTAATTTTTTGTATTTTTAGTAGAGATGGGGTTTCAACATGTTGGCCAGGCTGGTCTCAAACTCCTGACCTCAAGTGATCTGCCTGCCTCAGCCTCCCAAAGTGCTGGGATTACAGGTGTGAGCCACTGCACCTGGCCACATTTTTGTATTTTTAGTAGAGACAGTGTTTCACCTTGTTGGCCAGGTTGGTCTCGAACTCCTGACCTCAGGTGATCTGACCATCTTGGCCTCCCAAAGTGCTGGGATTACAGGGGTGAGCCACCCCACCAGGCTGCCATTAACTCTTTAAGTTTCCCAAGGCTTGGTCCTAGGCCTTCTTTTCTTCTCATTCTGTATATGCTCCTTGGGTGATTTTATCAACTCTCATGGCTTAACTATCTAGATCCTGATGATGCCCAACTCTTTAGTCCTTGGCCAGTATTTTCCTCTTCAGGTGATACCCACGTAATTATCTTTACCACATCTCTATTTGGATGTTACTTGGGCACATGTTAAAAAAAGGTGGCTGGGCACAGTAGCTCACGCCTGTAATCCCAGCACTTTGGGAGGCTGAGGTGGGAAGATCACTTGCGTTCAGGAATTTGAGACCTGCCTGCACTCAATGGAGTACAATGGCGCAATCTCGGCTCACTGCAACCTCCACCTCCCGGGTTCAGGCGATTCTCCTGCCTCAGCCTCCTGAGTAGCTGGGATTACAGGCATATGCCACCACACCCGGCTAATTTTTTTTTCTTATTGTTTTTTTTTTTTTTCTTTTTTTGAGACAGAGTCTCACTCTGTCGCCCAGGCTGGAGTGCAGTTGCGCGATCTTGGCTCACCGCAAGCTCCGCCTCCTGGGTTCACACCTTCTCCTGCCTCAGCCTCTTGAGTAACTGGGACTACAGGCGCCCGCCACCATGCCTGGCTAGTTTTTTGTATTTTTAGTAGAGATGGGGTTTCACCATGTTAGCCAGGATGGTCTCGATCTCCTGACCTCATGATCCGCCCGCCTCAGCCTCCCAAAGTGCTGGGATTACAGGCGTGAGCCACTGCGCCTGGCCTAATTTTTTGTATTTTTAGTGGAGATGCGGTTTTGTCATGTTGGCCAGGCTGGTCTTGAACTCCTGGCCTCAAATGATCTGCCCACCTTGGCCTCCCAAAGTTCTGGGATGACAGGTGTGAGCCACGACATGTGACCTCTACGGATAATTTTAAAAATTAGTTGGGCATGGTCATGTGCACCTGTGGTCCCAGGTACTTGGGAGGCTAAGGCAGGAGGATCACCTAAGCCTTGGAGATTGAGGCTACAGTGAGCTGCGATTGTGCCACTGCACTCCAGCCTGGGTGACAGAGCGAGACCCTATCTTAAAAAAACAAAAACCAAAAAACAAAAGCAAAAGCTAAACTCTGCATCTTCCTTTTGCCAGTTTGCTATGCCTCCTATAGCCCACCTCTCGGTAAATAGGGCTACTCCTTAACAAGTTGCCAAAGGAGAAACCCAGATACTATTCCAATTCCTCCCTCTCTCTCTGCAGGGAAGCAAAAAACTCCTGGCAGTCTGTCCTAGAATTGTTTGAAACACATCACTCACCTCTAGCTGTCCTGCCATTATCCCAGTCTATACCATCATTGTCTCTCACTTGACCTTCCATAATAGCTTCCTAACACATCTCTCAGCCTCTAATGTTAAACTCTTTCTTTTTTTTTTTTTTTTTGAGACAGAGTCTCACTCTGTCACCCAGGCTAGAGTGCAGTGGCACAACCACAGCTCACTGTAGCCTCAATCTCCAGGGCTTAGGTGATCCTCCTGCCTTAGCCTCCCAAGTACCTGGGACCACAGGTGCACACGACCTCGCTCTCAGGCTCAAGTGATCCTCTTGCCTCAGTCTCCCAAGTACCTAGGAGTACAGGCACATGCCACCATGCCCAGCTAATTAAAAAAAATTTTTTTTTGTAGAGATGGGGCCTCCCTATCTTGCCAGGGCTGGTTTTGAACTCTTAGCCTCAAGCGATCCTCCTGCCTGGGCCACCCAAAGTGTTGGGATTACAGGCATGAGCCATCACACCCAGCCTACTCTTAAACTTTCTGAATCTAGTTTCCATCCCATAATCAGAGGGTCTTTCTGAAACATAAATCTGGTCAGATTATTCCCTTGTTTAAAATTCTTCTTTGGCTTTCCACTGCCCTTGGAATAAAGACTAATCCCCTTGATGTTGCTTAGAAAACGCTACATAGTATCTTTGCTTTTCTAGTTACATAACTGGCTACTTTCCTCCCTGTTCTCTATGCTCCTGCAATTTAACGTGTGTCTTGCTTTCTTTGCTCTTGCACATGCTGCTCTCTCTTGCCTGGCACTGTTTCATCTAATTTCCTTGGCTCATTCCTACTCCTTTAGGTCCCCACTCAGCCATCATCACTTTCTCTAGGAAGTCTCAACCTCAGGTCTATGGTAAGCAGCTGATTGTGAAGCTCATAAAGCACCCAAATTCCTTTATTTCTCATCTCACGCTATGAAATAATAGCTTGTCTAATGATTAACTTTCTCTCCTTTGAGGTCACTAGATTGTTGTGTCCCCAGCCCCTAGCACAATTCCTGGAAGAGAGTAAGTACTTAGTAAGCAATATTTTGCACAATGAAAGAATGAGTACTCGCCAAGCAATCATTTGATATTGTTTCAGTACTCTCAAGTTGGCAGACAATGCACTGATCAGCCAACTTGAGCATTCTAGGCCACTTAAATTTTATTTTTTCACTTGTATACAGCCTCCCTGCTGTTAAGAGGATGTAAAAAGCACTACATCTGGTATAATAGAACATATTCATATAGTTTTTTGACAGGTTCGATCTTCTATCTTTTCTTCATTTCCTAAGAAACACCCATTAGCATTGTTGCTGAAGAAACTATCCTGTGGCCAGTCACCCCAAACTGCTGCTCTCTAGATGTTTACTTCCTACTTGCTATATCCTTTATAAGGAACTCCTTCCTCTCCTGGTTCATGGCCTGCTAGTCCTGCAATACTTGGCTCTTTCCCTAGGTCCCCACAGTATCCCAGATACTCCTATTGTTTATCACTTATTGCAGTACAATAAAGGAGCTTTCAGTGAGCATTTTACTGTAAGCCTATGTCAGTGCCTAACATAGAAAGAGATGGCAAGACTTAAGTTCTGAATTTTCAGCCCCATCAGTTACTAGTTCGGTAACCATATCACCGACAGTGCAAGTCGCTACATCTCTTCAAGAGTAATTTTCTTGCCCAGGTGCAGCGGTTCGTGCCTGTAGTCCCAACACTTTGGGAGGCTGAGGTGGGAGGATAGCTTGAGTTTAAGAGTTCAAGACCAGCCTGGGCAACATGGTGAAACCCTGTCTCTACAAAAAATACAAAAATTAGCTGGCATGGGGGCACGATCTGTTGTTGCAGCTACTCGGAGGGCTGAGATGGAAGAATCACTTCAGCGTGGGAGGTCGAGGCTGCTGTGAGTTGTGATTGCACCACTGCACTCCAGCCTGGGTGACAGAGCGAGACCCTGTCTCGAACATTCCTTTATCTCTGCATGGGAGTGATAATATCACAAGGAGCAGAGAGAGGTTTTAGGTTAAGTTTGACTACTCTTCGTGGCAGAGAAAAATAAGCTGAATACTTAAAATAATTGAAAACATTAACTTTCTCCTCTATAAATCCTTTTGATAGTTCTCTAATATTCATGGCTGCCAAAATCGAGGTTTTTTTTTTTTTTTTTTTTTTTTTTGATGGAGTCTTGCTCTGTCGCCCAGGCTGGAGTGCAATGGCACGATCTCAGCTCACTGCAACCTCCGTCTTCCGGGTTCAAGCGATTCTCCTGCCTCAACTTCCTGAGTAGCTGGGATTACAGTCGCCCGCCACCACACCCGGCTAATTTTTGTATTTTTAGTAGAGAAGGGGTTTTACCATGTTGGTCAGGCTGGTCTCGAACTCCTGACCTCAGGTGATCCACCCACCTTGGCCTCCCAAAGTGCAGGGATTACAGGCAGGAGCTACAGCGCCTGGCCCGTAGGCTACTTTTTATCGAACTTTTAATCAAAGATTCACGTTACAACTCCTAGTTGGCTGAGGATTACTCTATCTGTTCTTTTCCAGGTCACTTCAGAAGTTTCTCCAAATGAATCAGAAAATACATAGTGTCTGTTTCTGAAATAAAAGTACATGGAAAGAGAGATTCTTCTCCTTGATGGAAAAGGACAAAATACTTTCTTAAGGTTCTCAATGACTCATTGTGATGGGAGGGGAAGAGGAGGCAAAGGAAAAAAGCCAATTTCAGTAAAAGATTTCAAGAAGTTGGTAAGAAAAATATAGGGTGGAAACTTTGTTTTCCTGCTACTAAAAAAAGATACTAGAACAGAACAAGGATCGCAGCAAGAAATATGAGTGAGGCCAGACCATCTGCCAAACCCTTCAAACTCATCCTTTCTACCTTCCCCATTAAATAGCATATTTAAAAATGAATCTTTGCTGACTCTGCCAAGAATCTTAAAACTGCCCAAGTTTCTTTACTAGAACTCACGGAAACCTGGTGAATACTAATATTACCTAAAAGCTCAGCAATATAGAGGAAATTCTCAGACTGGATGTAATGAATAAGAACGGCACTGTTGTTTCTTGCAGACTGTTTCTTGCCTGCGGTAAATCTTGCCACATACTCTAAATCCTTGGTAGGCCATGAACAGGGGAAAGACTATAAACAGAGTTGGAGATTACAGGCCTCAGGCATGCAACTCCTGTAGCTTTACCATTTCTCCTTAGGTTGGCTTCAGAGAGGACTCAATCCCCCAAGTGCAGAGATGAGGGTGTGTAGCACTAGAAGAGCTGATTTTGGGGTGGGAACTTAGACTTCTTGTCTTACCTGGCTCCCACTTTCTATCACCCGTTTTAAAGATGTTTGGTACCTTGAACATACATGGAACATACTGGTAGCTTTAACTGTGTGCCCTTATCTACCCTATCTATGTAGATGTGCCCTATCTATGTAAACTGTAACTTAGCTGAGAAAAAGTTTAACTCAAAGTTTTGGCAAGAAAGGGGACAGCCAGTCCATGGAAAATACAAAGAGCCACACTTAGGGAAAATAGCTTAGCAAATGGCTGCCTTTGGTGAAAATCTAGAGTCCACCTCTAGAAGGAAATTCAAAGTTCATACACTGACCCTCGCCCCTCGCGTCCCCCCTCCCCCTTACCTCAGATCACCACGGATAGTGAAGTAGGGTGGGGGAAGGGAGCAATGGCAAAGTGGACGCTCACGGCAGGGGACAGAGTAACCAAAAAGAGTAGTTTCTGGGGGAGAGAGAGAAGGCTGGTGCAGAGGTAAAAAGGAAAGACGGTGGGCGGATGGAGAGATGAGGGCAAGAGAGTGACAGCAGGGAGCGGGCAGAGCTGGAGAAGGAGAGTGGGCGAGAGCCAGAAAAGAGGAGGCTTAGGAGTAAAAGGGTAGAGGGCCAAGGGTAACAGCCCAGGGTTGGATCCGGGACCAGGGAGGTTATGAAGTGAGGGCTGGGCATGGGACAGGGCCGCACAGGTCGGGTAGGAGGTCTGGCCAAAAAGGGGTTGGGCCAAGAAGGTGGTCCCGCCCGAGGATGGCTCAGGGAGCGGACGGAAAGGATCCAATTCCTAGCTTCATGGTGCCTTGGCACCACCCTCACTCGCCTGCAGGATCCGGGCTCGCACTGCCGCCGCCGCCAATAGCGCCGCCATGGCTCTCGGCCGCCCTAGCTCCGCACCCCGCGCCTCTACTGCCCAGAAGCACTACAGCTGCCAGGCCTCGCCCTCCATCCTGCCAGGCTTCCTCATTGGTGGGGAGGACTATTTTCTCCAGCCAATCACTGGTCCGAACACCTGATTCCTCTCCTCACACCCCCGTCCTGGGGATAAGTGATTGGTTAGGAGCGAAAATGCTCTCGCCCTCTGCCACCTCAGCCAATGACGTAGGCGGAGGTAGAGAAGACGCCCCTGACTTGGACACTCCCTACCGAGCACACGGGGAAGACGCCCCCCTAACCTGGAACTCCGATTGGCCAAGGGCGGAACCGAGGCCCCACCCCCCCACTGAAAAAAGTAAATAAGACCCTTCAAGAATTTTGCAGTCGCTCCACCTCAACATCCGCGTAAGGGGCGTGGCTATACTTAGGGGCGGGGCTAGGCAAAGATTGCCCTATGAGGCGAGGGAATGAGACTGGGCTGCGAGTTGGGGATAGGGTTTCTCTTTGGGGGCGTGGCTTATGGAACCTCGTTTTCCCGCCGACGGTTGGCCACGTCACGTGACATGGGTTGGAAGATGGCGTCTCCCACAGACGGTAAGAGCCGGCTTAGAGATCTTTGCCTGCAGCCTCCTTCTTTGCTCTACTGGGAACATCCACTCTGTCTCTGCCCCTCGAACATACATTTCTTTCTTGGGCTCTTCTCCTTTCCCTTTTATTTTTTTTCTTGAGATCCATCGCCGTCTTCAGCTCACCGGTTCTTCACAGCAGCTCCGGAGGTGCCCAGTTTCCCCGCTCTGTACCAGGCGTGTGGAGGAGGGCACTAGGGAGGGACTCATTCTGGGTAAAAGGACAGGGGGGTCGCCCTGTGCCTTCCTTATCTCTATTTGGGCGAGGCTGAGGGTCGAGGAGGAGATGTTTCTGGAGGACGTGGCTTACTGTAGTTTTTTCCTTGGGGTACCCATTGAAAGGATCAGTTCTCTTCTGATTGAGCGCACGGATGGAATGATTCTCACAAACCCTCGCAGGGCTGCTGGCTGACCTCATCTCGATACTGAACCGCAAGAGAAACATGATCTCTCTCCTGTCTCCTCAGTTTGGGACCATTGCCGTGGCAGCAAGAGAAGCGGGGGACGTTCTCGGCCCCTCGCCCTGAGAGTCGCGAGGAGAATCAGTATTGAGCTTTTAAGTGTCGTCTTGCACAGGTCGCAACCTGTCTTCCATCTGCTTTACGTGTTGTTTCTTAAGGCTGAGTGAATTAACGATTTCTGTTTATATATTGTGTAAAATGCAAGTCATTTCAAGTAACAATTAAGTTGTTTTGGTATACTCCCATGCTTTTCCTCTTGGTTCTGCTTTAGAGAGTTAGGGTCTTGCAGTCATTTTTAAACTCATTTTTAGTTCTACCATCCTCATCCCAACTATATATCGATTTTATTGATATATAGGTTTCCTTCCCTTAGACAAAAACATTTTATATTTGGAAGGAATCTTGGAAGTTCATTGCAGGAATGAAGAAATTGAAGCCAAGGTGAGCTATATTAAGTACCTGCTACATGAAAGGCATAATGCTAGGTGCTTTGGGAGACCAAAAGATGACTCAAACATATAAACATTTTTTTTTTTCAGTTTCAGTTCTCTTTTTAGATGTCACCTCCCAAAGAGTCTTTCTTAGAACACAGTATCTGGAGTTGCCCTTTCCCACCATTATTCATTATCTCAGTATCTTCCTTGTCAGCATAGTTACTCTGTTAACTTTGCCCCTTTTGCGCTAGATTGTAAATTCCAAGTTTGTCTTGTTCATAGTTGGATCCAGGTTTAGCACAGTGCCTGACGAACAGTAGGTCTTTAATTAACATTTATTGAAAGATTGATTAGATATATGCAGAAATAATATATTACTTGATCTTAAGTTTTAAGTTTAACCGAGTCTTAAATTTTGTGAGCGCAGGTACATACTGTATTAGAAATTATGGCTGGGCGTGGTGGTTCACACTTCTAATCCCAGCACTTTGGGAGGCTGAGGCAGGCAGATCGCCTGAGCTCAGGAATTGAAGACCAGCCTAGACAACATGGTGAAACCCCATCTCTACAAAAAAATACAAAAATTATCTGGGTGTGATGCCACAAACCTGTAGTCCCAGCTACTTGGGGGGGCTGAGGCAAGAGAATCTCTTGAGCCCAGGGGGTGGAGGCGGCAGTGAACCATGTTCATGCCACTGCACTCCAGTCTGTGTGACAAAGCGAGACCCCGTCTCAGAAAAAAAAGAAGGAAAAAAAAAGAAATTATGGATGTTTGGAGTCAAAAGAGATTCTCCTGCCTGGGTGCGCTCTTGCAAAAATGTCCTTCTCTTGCCAGAAAGAAGGGCATTTAAAAAGTCAGGCAAGGGAATAGGGAGTTATTGTTAATGGGTACCAAATTTCAGTTTGGGAAGGTGAAAGAATTCTGGAAATGAATGTGATGATTGCACAATTAATGTACTTAATACCACTGAAATGTATACTTAAAAGTTATTAAAATGGTAAAATTTATGTATATTTCACCACAGTTGAAAAAAAAAGCCAAGTAATACAAGTAGAAGTAATTGTTATTAAACTTTTTAGTTTATTTTTAAATTGTTTTTACAAACTTTGGGGATTTTAGAGATGTGTTCCTTGAGTTTGATTTTTTTCCCCTGTCATCTCTCAATTTAGTTTCCTTTCTTTGGCCAGGAAGAGTATTAAAAACATTAAATTTGGCTTGGCGTGGTGGCTCACGCCTGTAATCCCAGCACTTTGGGAGGGCGAGATGGGTGGATCACGAGGTCAGGAGATCGAGACCATCCTGGCTAACACAGTGAAACCCTGTCTCTACTAAAAAATACAAAAAATTAGCCAGGCGTGGTGGTGGGTGCCTGTAGTCCCAGCTACTCAGGAGGCTGAGGCAGGAGAATGGCGTGAACCCGGGAGGCAGAGCTTGCAGTGAGCCGAGATCACGCCACTGCACTCCAGCCTGGGACAGAGCGAGACTCCATTGCAAAAAAAAAAAAAAAAAAAAAAATTAAATTTTTTTCCTTTTCTAGCCATCTCTATGGTCACTTTATTTGCACTCTTGATTTTTAAGTTTTCATTCTCATCTCTTACAAAGTTTCACTCCTCTCCACCTAATGTTTTCTTTTTAATCTGAAAAAATCAAGTCAAGCACTTTGAACTTAAATTCAGCTTCTAAATAAGTATCTCATTCCAAAATATTCCACGGCCTAGCTCTTTCACTTCTATTTTTAGTGTTCCACCTGTCACTGTCTTTAAAATTTAATTCAGATAATATTTATTTTAATATGTTTGTCATTTACTCTTTTGTCTTTTTCGTGATAAATTTGCTGGAGCGTCTTTGAAAAGGAGAAAACTGAAATTCAAATACAGCCATCTAATTACTTAATTTATGAGAGTAAGACTCACAGCAGAGTCTGAGTTCTATCCCAGACTGTGGTATCATAAGGTCACCCATGTAGGTTATTAGATTGTACCCCCAATAATTTTTTTTTAACTTTCTTTTAGAGACAGGGTCTCTCTCACTCTATTGCCCATGCTGAAATGCAGTGATATGATTATAGCTCACTGCACCCTCAAAGGCTCAAGCGATTCTCCCATCTCAGCCTCCTAAGTAGCTGGTACTATAGGCTCACACCACCATGCCCAGCTAATTTATTATTATTATTATTTATTTTGTTTTGAGACGGAGTCTCACTCTGTCACCCAGGCTGGAGTGCTGTGGCATGATCTCGGGTCACTGCAACCTCCGCCTCCTGGGTTCAAGTAATTCTCATGCATCAGCCTCTCCAGTAGCTGGGATAACAGGCACACGCCACCACACCTGGCTAATTTTTGTATTTTGAGTAGAGACGGGGTTTCACCATGTTGCCCAGGCTAGTCTTGAACTCCTGACCTCAGGTGATGCACTCACCTCGGCCTCCCAAAGTGCTAGGATTACAGGCGTGAGCCACCATGCCCCCA
This sequence comes from Homo sapiens, assembly GCF_000001405.40. Lineage (NCBI taxonomy): Eukaryota > Metazoa > Chordata > Mammalia > Primates > Hominidae > Homo > Homo sapiens. Next base: position 74,088,390 of record NC_000014.9, read on the forward strand.
CCTTATTATTTTTTGTAGAGATGGAGTCTCACTATGTTGCCCAGGATGGTCTCAAACTCCTGGGCTCAAGCAATCTTCCTGCCTCGGCTTCCCAAAGCACTGGGATTCCAGACATGAGCCACTGTACCTGGCCCAATAACTTTACTTTTGTTATGGTTGAACATTCCTCAGAAATCGGTAACAAAGAGAAGCTAATTTTTGGATGCTTTAATTAAGGCAATGTATTAGTTGAGTTCTTTACAATTAAAATGCCATTGGAAATTCCTTTGGAATATTTGGCAAAACAAATTCAGTTTAGAGAAAAGTACATTTTGTACGTATGTATATTTTCTGGGGAGTGAGTTCATTTTATTTCCCAGATTTCCAGAGATGTGGTTACCCAGAAAATGTTAAGAACTGCTGTTTATAGCATTAAATGAACTAGTTATGCAACTGGTTAGCATACTGAGCATACAATAAAAACTCAACAAATGTTAATATTGAGTACTACTGTGTGCAAGGGAAGAGTGGAAGAGAAATGATGTCAAAGAATTAGGTAGAGGCTGAGTAAGATTTTATAGAGTGTGGTAGATACACATTCACAGATTTAGCTGGGAGGAACTTTAAGCTGGAGAGAGACACGAACTGATTGACGTTTAAAAAAATCAATTCTGGCCTCTTTATGGAGAATAGATTCCGGGGGTGTGAAGGGGAAAGGGTAAGAATGGGAGCAGAGAGATCTGTTAAGAGGCTGTTGAAGTAGTCCAAGAAAGAAGTGATGGTTCCTTGGGTTATTTGATTTCAGGGTGTATTCTGAAGGTAGAAACGACTAGATTTACTCATGGATTGGTTATGGAAGGGTGAAGGAAAAGAATGCATGAAGGATGACATCTGGGTTTTTGATCTGAGAATTGGAATTTATGGTAGTGTTATTTCTTGAGATGGGAGAAGATTGGGGGAATATGGTTTTGAAGATAATTAGGTTTAAAGTTTAAGTGGGGATTTTTTTTTTTTTTTTGAGACAGGATGTGGCTCTATCACCCAGGCTGGAGTGCAGTGGTGTGACCTTAGCTAACTGCAGCTGCCACCTCTGGGCTCAAGCCATCCTTCCACCTCAGCCTCCCAAGTAGCTGGGACTACAGGCTGACACCACCACACCTGGCTAATTTTTTTGCTTTTTGTAGAGATGGGTTTTCACTATGTTGGCCAGGCTGGTCTCAAACTCGTGAGCTCAAGCAATCCACCCACCTCGGCCTCCCAAAACTGCTGGGATTACAGGCGTGCACCACTGCATCTGGCCTTAAGCAGTTTTTTTATATGTAAATAGAGAGGGATTCAAATAACCACTTGGACATAAACCTTTGTAGTTCTTTAGAAAGGTTGGGAATGGAAATATAAATATGGAGTCATTGGCATACAGATGAAGATAAAAGTCCTCATGTTGAAATAGGGGAGTTCCCTAACCGCAGGACATACGACAGGGGTGTGGCTTGTCTGTGTGCACTCAATCCTCTTATGGGAGAGGGAGCACGCAGATGGGCAGGTGTAGGAGTCAGGGCGAGCACTTTTGGGCTCCAGCCCCACGGTAGCATCTAGGGGTGGGTGCCTGTGACTCCCAAAGCCCAAGTGGGCATGTATAACAGTGCACTCTTTTTTTTTTTTTTTTTTGAGATGGAGTCTTGCTTTGTTGCCCAGGCTGGAGTGCAGTGGTGTGATCTTGGCTCACTGCAACCTCCACCTCCCAGGTTCAAACGATTCTCCTGCCTCATCCTCCCCAGTAACTAGGATTACAGGTGTGTTCCCCCATGCCTGACCAATTTTTGTATTTTTAGTAGAGACAGGGTTTCACTATGTTGGCCAGGCTGGTCTTGAACTCCGGACCTCAAGTGATCCACCCATCTTGGCCTCCCAAAGTGCTGGGATTATAGGCATGAGGCACCCCACCTGCCCTGGTGTTTTTTGTTTGTTTGTTTGTTTGTTTTTTTGAGATGGCGTCTCATTCTGTTGCCTGGGCTGGAGTACAGTGGTGCAATCTTGGCTCACTGTAACCTCTGCCTCCCGGGTTTAAGCAATTCTCCTCCCTCAGCCTCCTGAGTAGCTGGGATTACAGGCGCCTGCTACCACACCCAGCTAATTTTTTGTATTTTTAGTAGAGACAGGGTTTCACCACGTTGGCCAGGCTGGTCTCAAACTCCTGACCTTGTGATTCACCCGTGTTGGCCTCCCAAAGTGCTGGGATTACAGGCATGAGCCACCATGTCCGGCTGGGGTTTTTTTTTGAAACACAGAAATTCTGCAACCAGCTTGATTGGTACTGCTCCTTTTTAAAGAGATTTTTAAAGAGTTACTTATTTTGTAAAGTTTTATTTATTTTGAAGCTAGTCAAATTTAGCAGTGGGGGGTTGTGTACAAACTTTAGTGACACTGAGATGAGGCTAGAGAAGGTAGAAACTGATGGTACCTGAGAAAGATGATATGCAAATGATGTCCTTGATAAAGCAAGAGAAGATGGCATCTAGAGTGCTATCAGAAGAGTCTGTTTCATGGAAGGAGAAACACTTAATTCATTGTAACTGGAGGAAAGCACAAGAGTATGAATGAAGATGCAGGTGGGTTCATTGATACTCATTTTTCTTAACACTCCCAATAAAATATCATTCCCATTCATAGATTGAAAGAGTGAGGTTTGGTAAGGGAGAATGATTTATTTGTATTCTATCACGGACCAGTGGCATCAATAGTTACAGAACTCATATCTCTAGACTTCCAGGTGAGTGTTCCAGTTTATGTCCTTTGAGATTGAAGTATCATATACATTAATGTGTTTCCTGTCTTCTTGGTTCATCTGGATGTTTTGTTCTAGGGACAGATCTGGAAGCATCTTTGCTAAGTTTTGAAAAACTTGACCGTGCCTCACCAGATCTTTGGCCAGAACAATGTAAGTTTTTGCCTTCTTTATATCAGAGTCAATGCAGGAGAAACAATGTTCCTTTTTAAAGAGATTTTTAAAGAGTTATTTATTTTGTAAATTTTTATTTATTTTGAAGCTAGTCAAATTTAGCAGTGGGGGGTTGTATACAAACTTTAGTGACACTAACGTTAATAAGTTCTGATAACAGGCTGAGCTTGTTGGCTCATGCCTGTAATCCCAGCACTTTGGGAGGCCGAGTTGGGAGGATCACCTGAGGTCAGGAGTTTGAGACCAGCGTGGCCAACATGGTGAAACCCTGTCTCTACTAAAAAAAAAATAGAAATATTAGCTGGATGTGGTGGCACACACCTGTAATCCCAGCTACTCAGGAGGCTGAGGCATGAGAATCTTTTGAACCCAGGAGGCGGAGGCTGCAGTGAGCAGAGATTGTGCCACTGCACTTCAGCCTGTGTGACAGGGTGAGACTCTGTCTCAAAAAAAAAAAAAAAAAAAAAAAAGTTCTGATAACCCATTACCATCAGACCAGGCTGAAGAGTTATCATTTAACTTTAATGATTAAAGTTTTATTTTATTTCAAAGAGAAGAGATTGAAGTCCAGTGTTAAGAATAGCTGTTTGGTGGTTTAATTTGTTCAGAACACAGTGTGACTCAGAAAATAAGGAGCCATTAAACAATAATAATTATTTTGTTTGAACCAGAGTCTCTCTCTGTCGCCCAGGGTGGAGTGCAGTGGTGCACTCGGGTCACTGCATCCTCTGCCTCAGGGTTCAAGCGATTGTCCTGCCTCAGCCTCCCAAGTAGCTGGGACTACAGGTGCATGCCACCATGCCCGGCTAATTTTTTGTATTTTTAGTAGAGACAGGGTTTCACCATGTTGGCCAGGCTGGTCTCGAACTCCTGACCTCAGGTGATCCACCTGCCTCAGCGTCCCAAAGTGCTGGGATTACAGGTGTGAGCCACCGTGCCTAGCCAACAATAATTATTATTATTATATATATGTATATATATATATATGTTTTTTTTAGACGGAGTTTCGCTCTAGTTGCCCAGGCTGGAGTGCAATTGCTCAGTGTTGGCTCACTGCAACCTCTGCCTCCCAGGTTCAAGCGATTCTCCTGCCTCGGCTCCCGAGTAGCTGGGATTACAGGCACATGCCGCAATGCCCGGCTAATTTTTTGTATTTTTAGTAGAGACAGGGTTTTGCCATGTTGGCCAGGCTGGTCTCAAACTCCTGATCTCAGGTGATCCACCCACCTCGGCCTCCCAGAGTGCTGGGATTACAGGCGTGAGCCACCATGGCTGGCCATTAATTACTTTTTAAAACTACATTTATAGGCTGGGCATGGTGGTTCATGCCTGTAGTCCCAGCACTTTGGGAGGCCAATGCGGGTGGATCACTTGAGGCTAGGAGTTTGAGACCAGCCTCGCCAACATGGCGAAACCCTGTCTCTATCAAAAATACAAAAATTAACTGGCCGTGGTGGTGCACACCTGCTATCCCAGCTACTCAGGAGGCTAAGGCACGAGAATTGCCTGAACCCGGGAGGCGGAGGTTGCAGTGAGCCAAGATTGCACTATTGCACTCGAGCCTGGGCAACAGAGAAAGACTCTTTCTCAAAAAAATCCCCCAAACTACACTTATTTGTTTGTTTGTGTATTTATTTATTTGAGATGGAGTCTTGCTCATGTCGCTCAGGCTGGAGTGCAATGGTGCAATCTCGGCTCACTGCAACGTCCGCCTCCCTGGTTCAAGCGATGCTCCTGCCTCAGCCTCCCGAGTAGCTGAGATTATAGGTGCCCGCCACAATGCTCAGCTAATTTTTGTATTTGTAGTACAGACGGCTTTTCACCAAGTAGGTTGGTCTTGAACTCCTGACCTCAGGTGATCCGCCCACCTCGGCCTCCCAAAGTGCCGAAATTTCAGGAGTGAGCCACCACAGCCAGCCCCCAAAACTACATTTATAAGAAATTCACATAATACTGAGATATATAAAGCGTTTTCTCACCTTTTTCAATCACTCTTTTTTTTTTTTTTTTTTTTGAGATGGAGTTTCACTCTTGTTCCCCAGGCTGTGCAGTATAATGGTGCAGTCTTGGCTCACAGCAACCTCTGCTTCCGGGTTCAAGCAATTCTCCTGCCTCAGCCCCCCAAGTAGCTGGGATCACAGGTGCATGCCACCACACCTGGCTAATTTTTGTATTTATAGTAGAGAAGAGGCTTCACCATGTTGGACAGGCTGGTCTTGAACTCCAGACCTCAGATGATCTGCCTGCCTCAGCCTCCCAAAGTGCTAGTATTAGAGGCCTGAACCACTGCACCTGGCCCACTCTTATAACGTTAACCACTGTTAATCGTACAAATCCTTGTAAAAGGTACAACTCCGGCCAGGTGTGATGGCTCACGCCTGTAATCCAAGCACTTTGAGAGGCCGAGGTGGGCGGATTACCTGAAGTCAGGAGTTTGAGATCAGCCTAGCTAACATGGCGAAACCCCGTTTCTACTAAAAATACAAAAAATTAGCTGAGCGTGGTGGCACATGCCTGTAATCCCAGCTACTTGGGAGGCTGAGGCAGGAGAATCGCTTGAACCCGGGAGGCAGAGGTTGCAGTGAGCAGAGATTGCAGTGAGCTGAGATCACTCCATTGCACTCCAGGTTGAGCAACAAGAGTGAAACTCTGTCTCAAAAAAAAAAAAAAAGGTACAAATCCTTTTGACCTATTTTATACAGATAAGGAAATAATAATTTTTTAAGTATGTATAAGAGGGATTTTTTTTTTCTTCATAATGTTGGAGTCATATGCATGTGGCCTGCCACTTAACTTACTCCACATGTGAACAGTTCCATCTTGGTATGTGTATGTCTACTTCATTCTTTTAAATATATTTCATTGTATGGATATATTATAGTTTATGTATTCATACATTATTTGGAAACTTAAGTTATATCTACTTTGTAGTTTTTTTTTTTTTTTAATTTGAGCAAGGGTCTCACTCTGTCACCCAGGCTTTGTGCAGTGGCGTGATCACAGCTGACTGCAGCCTCAACCTCCTGGGCTCAAGTGATCCTCTCACTTCAGCCTCCTGAGTAGCTGGGACCACAGGCATGTACCACCACAACCAGCTATTTAAAAAATTTTGGGGGGGACAAGATCTCACTGTGTTGCCCAGACTGGTCTCAGACTCCTGGGCTCAGGCTGTCTTTCCACCTTGGCCTCCCAGAGCACTGGGATTACAGGTGTGAGGCACTGTGCCTGGCCTATATCTAGTTTTTGACTTTACAGACAGTTTATCAGTGAATACCCATGTACACATATCTTCATATACATGGAAGAGGATAACTGTATGAGGGCCCCTTTCCTCACATACTAGCCAGTATTAGATGTTACTAATCTATTAGTTTCATTTTACATTTCCTTTTTGGTGAGATTGAACTTTTTTTTTTTTGAGATGGAGTCTCGCTCTGTTGCCCAGGTTGGAGTGCAATGGCGTGATCTCAGCTCACTGCAACCTCCACCTCCCGGGTTCAAGCAATTCTCCTGCCTCAGCCTCCTGAATAGCTGGGACTACAGGCACATGCCGCCACACCCAGCTAATCTTTTGTATTTTAGTAGAGACGGGGTTTCACTGTGTTGCCCAGGCTGGTCTCCAACTCCTGAGCTCAGGCAAAGATGTTATTTTAATTATATATTTTTTTTAGAGACAGAGGCTCATCCTATCACCCAGGCTAAAGTGCAATGTCACGATGATAGCTTACTGCAGCCTCCAACTCCTGAGTTCAAGCCATCCTCCTGCCTCAGCCTCCTAAGTAGCTAGGACTATAGGTGTGCATTACCATGCCCAACTAACTGTTTTTTTTTTTTTTTTTTTTGAGACAGGGTCTTCCTCTGTTGCCCAGTTTGGAGTGCAGTGGTGTGATCATGGCTCATTTCAGCCTCAACTTCCCGGGCTCAAGCCTTCCAAGTAGCTAGGACTACAGGGGCACATCACTACGCCTGGCTAAATTTTGTATTTTTTGTAGAGACGGGGTTTCACTATATTGCCCAGGCTGGTCTCCAACTCCTGAGCTCGAGTGATTCACCCGCTTCAGCCTCCCAAAGTGCTGGGACTACAGGCATGAGCCACTGCACCCGGCCCGTTTTTTAATTTTTTGTAGAGTCTGGGGTCTTGCCCTGTTGCCCAGGCTGATCTTCAAGGGATCCTCCTGCCTTGACTTCTCAAAATGCCCAGCCCTGATTTTTATTTTTCTGCATTTTAATGTGATTCTTTCTGTGAGAAATTTAAATAAATAAAATTGGATTGACAGAACAGCATCTCTAAAAAGGCAGTTTAAACTTTCTGGTAAGAGATATTGTATCTTACCACCCTCCCAACCAGCTAACTCCTGGTCCTTCCAAGTTCAGTTGAGGCATTATTTTCCTTGAGAAGCTTTTTATGCCCCCTGGGTCTGACTTAGCTTGCCATTTTTTGTCTTGCCATAGTCCTGGCATCTTTCTTTGAGGACTGAAACAGTGTTATAGTTATTGGTTTATTCTTTCTCTTCTTCTAAACTATAAGAAAACAGACAAAGCTGTTTTCTTATTATTTGGATCTTCTATGCCTGAGCAATCATACTTATTGAATAAATAAAGTTTTGTTTTTCTTTTTAGTACCAGGTGTTGCTGAATTTGCAGCTTCCTTCAAAAGTGTAAGTAATATCCCTTACCTACTGAGGTCAATCCAAAGTTTCGCTCCTGAGTAAAAGCTCAGATCTCTGTTCTTTATTTTATTTTATTTTATTTATGGCAGAGTCTCACTCTTCGCCCAGGCTGGAGTGCAGTGGTACGATCTCGGCTCACTGCAACTTCCACTTACCAAGTTCAAGCGATTCTCCTGCCTCAGCCTCCTGAGTAGCTGGGATTACAGGTGCCCACCACCACGCCCAGCTAATTTTTGTATTTTTAGTAGAGACGGGGTTCACCATCTTGGTCAGGCTGGTCTCAAACTCCTGACCTCAAGTGATCCACCTACCTCAGCCTCCCAAAGTGCTGGGATTACAGGTGTGAGCCACCGCGCCTGGCCTTTTAAAATTTTTTGTGGAGAAGAGGTCTCACTATATTTCCCAGGCTGGTCTTGAACTCCTGGGTTCAAGTGATCCTCCTGCTCCAGCCTCCCATAGCATTAGGATTACAGGTGTGAGCCAATGTATGTGTTTTTGTTTTTTTGTTTTTTTTAATGTGAAAAAAATACCTACTTTATAGAGTTGATTTGGAGGTAAATGACTTGATGCATGTAAAGTGTTTTGCTTGTCACATAATAGGTTCTGAGTACATTTTAATTAAAAAAAGAGAAAGACGCAAAGCTGAAATAATGTTTCTCAACCCTACCTTTTGTGCATGACAGAATCATCAACATGCAGCTATGGAGCTCTTGAAAAATGCACTGTAACAAATGAGCACCAAGAAAAAAATTAATTAAATATAAAAAAAGAAAAGCACATATGAGGAGTCCCTTGCTCTACTTTTTCCACTGGACCCTTCCCTACCCCTCATATTCTAAATCATTATGTCTGGAGTGTGGCCAAGGCATTTATAGTTTTAAAAGTTACACAGGTGATTCTCGTGTGCAACTAGCATTAAACTGCCAACCCAGAGCTATTCTAAGAATGGGCTTTCTTTCATAGTTTTAAGTTCACTTTCATAAATGAAAAATTGTAAAATTCTGAAGTTTCCTAAAACCTCTACAATAAAATTGTGAAATTCCAAGTGATGACCATTCCAGACTTCTCTCACTTAAAATGATGATTTTCTCATTCTTGATTCTTCTTTGAATCTCCCGTATGCCAGAGAATGTTACTTACTGATTAGTGTTTCAAACAGTTGAATTGGAGGCTTTCACCAGAACTGAATTTCAAGTAATTTCATTCATTGCTATACTAACTTGTTAGGCATAAATCAGTAATAGTGGTCATACCTATTCTTCCACAGTGATTTCTCTGAGACTGACTTTCAAGATGAGCCATGTTTTTTGCAGTGACTATTTGTAGGCCATATCTAAACCTGGAGAAATCCAGGTTTTTGAAATTATAATCTGCCAGTATTTCCAAACAACCTGAAGGCTATGTGACAAGCTGCATTTTTTCTTTTTCTTTTTTTTTTTTTTTTTTGAGACAGAGTAATACTCTTACCCAGGCTGGAGTACAGTGGCACAATCTTGGTTCACTGCAACCTCTGCCTCCCACATTCAAGAGGTTCAAGCAATTCTCGTGCCTCACCCTCCCAAGTAGCTGAGATTACAGGTGTGTGCCATCACGCCTGGCTAATTTTTTTTGTATTTTTAGTAGAGATGGGGTTTCCCCATGTTGGCCAGGCGGGTCTCGAACTCCTGACTCCTGACCTCAAGTAATCCGCCCACCTTGGCAGCCACCGCATCCGGCCCAGGCTACACTTCTTATAAGAATAATAGGGTCTCCTCACACTTTTTATGTGTCTGAATGGATATATTATTTTTTGACAGCCTATTACTAGTTCTCCACCCAAATGGATGGCTGAGATAGAACGTGATGACATCGACATGTTGAAAGGTAAGTGATGCTAGTTACCACTTTTAACTGGATATTTATGTTTTTCCATAGACCACCTCTCTATTTTTTTTTTCTGTTTCCTTACAAGTATTTTTGGCTTCAGACTTCTCATTTAAACCTCCTTATTTGTAGTTTTTCATGTCTGCAATGCCCTTCTCTACCTTTTCCATGTGTAGAAATCCTGCCAATTCAAGACTCAGTCATAGTGAATTCTGCTGCTGGTGCTAAATTCTTCTAATGTGAACCTGATTTTGTATAATACAGTTAACGAATAGCTCTAACATAAATTTTTTCATTTAATTCCCATAAAGGTCCTGTGAGTTGGGTATGATGATATTCAAAGTTCATAAGTTAACCAAGATAGAATGAGTTAAAATTTGGCTAGGCGTGGCTCATGTCTGTAATCTTAGCATTTTGGGAGGCCGAGGTGGGTGGATCACTGGAGGTCAGGAGTTTGAGACCAGACTGACCAATATAACGAAACCACGTCTCTACTAAAAATACAAAAATCAACCAGGCATGGTGGCAAGCTCCTGTAATCCCAGCTACTCTGGAGGCTGAGTCAGGAGAATCACTTGAACCTAGAAGACAGAGGTTGTGGCGAACAATAGTTCCACTGCACTCCAGCCTGGCTGACAGAGCAGGACTCTATCTCAAAAAAAAAAAAAAGTTAAAAAATTTTAACTCTGGTTTTTTTTTTTTTTCAGACGGAGTCTCGCTTTTGTTGCCCAGGCTGGAGTGCAGTGGTGCGATCTCGGCTCACTGCAACCTCCGCCTCCTGGGTTCAAGCGATTCTCCTGCCTCAGCCTCCCGAGTAGCTGGAATTACAGGCATCCCCCACCACGTCCAGCTAATTTTTGTAGTTTTAGTAGAGATGGGGTTTCACCATGTTGGCCAGGCTGGTCTCAAACTCCTGACCTCCAGTGATCCACCCACCTCGGCCTCCCAGAGTGCTGGGATTACAGGCGTGAGCCACCACGCCCCGCGTAAACTCTGCTTTTTTAAGTCTAGCCTCTTTCCATTATAACACAAGTGCCTTATTTAGAATTTACTGCCATATATTGTCAGTACTATTAAATGACAACCTCTTAGTGGGTTAAGACCTATTTTTTATTTTTTTATCCCATCAATTTCTTCTATAAAGAATACTATAAGTAGTGAATATTGTTGTTTGATAAATGATTTGAAACTCAATCACAAAGTGGAAATTTAAATTAAAAAACATTAATTTTCCATGATTTTGCCCTACTTTATTTATTTTATCATCCTTCTGGTGATAAGATTCATGATGATTGTGAAGTAATAGACTGAAATTAAGGTAAAAACCTGGGATTCTTGAGGTATTTAAACAGCTGAACATATCAAGAAAGTCTACTTATGCTAGGTGTAGATAATGACTGTGGCATGATAAATGAGATTAAAAAAAAACACCTTTATTTGATTTTAGAAGTAATTCATTGTTCTTTATGAAATGCTTAAATGCAGATTCCCTCCTCCTGCCATGGAAAAATTAAGTCTCAAGGGCATCTCAGGTTCATTCTTCTAATGTTTCAAACAGACATTTATATAATATCTCATCAGCATGTATTTCTTAAGGCAACTTTAAATTTTTAGTGAGGGATCATAGCATTATATTCTATGCAAACTGACCTGTGTCTTAAACCTAAAAGGAATTGGGTGCTATTTAAATAAAAATTCAGGAAAGAACATTTTTAAGTATTGTCTTTGTGTGTGTGTGTGTGTGTGTGTATGTGTGTGCAAGAGACTGGAGTTTTTTTTATTACTCAGTCTCCCCGAGAATTTGGGGATCAGAGTTTTTAAGGATAATTTGGTGGGTTGGGGGGACAGTGAGTTGCTAGTGCTGATTGATTGGGCTGGAGATGAAATCACAGGGAGTCAAAGCTGTCCTCTTGCACTGAGTCAGTTCCTGGGTGGGGGCCACAAGATCAGATGAACCAGTTTATTGATCTGGGTGGTACCAACTGATCCATCAAATGCAAGGCCTGCAAAATATCTCAAGCACAGAAACACCCAACAGTGAAACTGCCATTGCAGAATTGTAACTGTGATGGTGAAAGAGATCTGACCTAACCAACTCCATTTGCTCCTAACCTCCAACAGTATGCTGTCTTTTTACTTAGTAAACTTAAAGATTTTTATAGGAATTTGATTTGAAGGGAAAGTTTAGATTTTTATTTAGTCTTTGTTTTCTAAACTTAGGGAAATGGGGAATAGTAAGTGTTTTGTTGCCACTTTATTATAAGTCGAAATAATGTGGACTTACAATTAACAGTGGAGACAGTGTCCATTTTGTCAGATCAGATCTGTCTTCAAGGCTTTCTTAATGCTATCAAAAGACAAGGTTTTACATTTTAATGATGTATTCCAAACAAATGTTATAAATAATGTTTCCTGAGGATGAATCACTTAATTTGTTACTTTATTATTTTTTTCTTTTTTTATTTGAGAAAAGGTCTCACTCTGTCACCCAGACTGTAGTGCAGTGGTGCCATCATGGCTCACTACAGCCTTGACCTCCTGGTGATCCTCCCATCCCAGCCTCCTGAGTAGCTGGGACTACAGGCATACACCACCATACCCAGCTAATTTTATTTTATTTATATTTTTTTTTTGAGAAGGAATCTCACTTTGTTGCCTAGGCTGGAGTGCAGTGGTACAATCTCAGCTGTCTGCAACCTTTGCCTCCTAGGTTCAAGTGATTCTCCTGTTTCAGCCTTCTGAGTAGCTGGGACTACAGGCGCCTGCCACCACACCCAGCTAATCGTTCTATTTTTAGTAGAGACAGGGTTTCGCCAGGTTGGCCAGGCTGGTCTCAAACCCCTGACCTCGGGTGATCTGCCCGCCTTGGCCTCCCAAAGTGCTAGGATTACAGGCATGAGCCACCATGCCTGGCTGAATTTTTGCATTATTTTTATACAGGTGAGGTATCATTGCCCAGGCTGGTCTTGAACTCCTGGGCTCAAGTGATCCTCTTGCCATAGCCTCCCAAGTAGCTGGGACTGAAGGCATGTGCTACCATGCCCAGCTAATTCTGTTTTTATGCTAGTTCTTTTCTTATTAAGTGGGTAAGCTTATCTGAGGAATTTTGCAATAGTGGGAAAATTCCCTGATTTGTGTGTGTTTAAGATTGGGGGAGGAGTTACGGATCCATTTTCTACTTATTCAGTGGTAATTAAGCTTGAAAACTTGTATAACAAGAGTTCCCAACCCAAGGAAGTTGCTACTAGAGAAGAGTGGAAAGAAATGATGTTGAAATAAATGATTCTGTTTCAGAACTGGGGAGTCTCACCACGGCTAATTTGATGGAGAAGGTTCGAGGCCTACAGAACCTAGCCTATCAGCTGGGGCTGGATGAGTGTGAGTACCCCGATCGCATTTGTTCAGGGGTGTATTCCACCCTGAGCTGTGTATTCCACCCTGAGCTCAGGTATTCCACCCTGAGCTCCAGTTATAATTCAGAAAGTATATTAGGGAAAAGAGAAGCATTCTGAAGGTAAGAAGTCAATCTAATTCATTGACTTTTTATGGTGGAGTGTGGTGGAATAATTACTGGATTTACTAGGTAACAAATGATTTTTCTTTTTTTTTTTTTTTTGAGACGGAGTCTCGCTCTGTCGCCCAGGCTGGAGTGCAGTGGCGGGATCTCGGCTCACTGCAAGCTCCGCCTCCCGGGTTCACGCCATTCTCCTGCCTCAGCCTCCCAAGTAGCTGGGACTACAGGCGCCCGCCACTACGCCCGGCTGATTTTTTTTGTATTTTTAGTAGAGACGGGGTTTCACCGTTTTAGCCGGGATGGTCTCGATCTCCTGACCTCGTGATCCGCCCGCCTCGGCCTCCCAAAGTGCTGGGATTACAGGCGTGAGCCACCGCGCCCGGCCGATTTTTCTTTATACAGTAAAAGTATATTGAAATCCCTTCAGGTTATTATCTCATTTTTAAATAGACAGAGTCTTACTATGTTGCCCAGGCTGATCTTCAACTCCTGGGCTCAAGTGATCCTCCCACCTTAGCCTCTGAAGTAGCTGGGACTACAAGCATGTACCACCGTGCCTGGGTAATTAAAAAATTTTTTTTGTAGAGACAGAGTCTCACTATATTGCCCAGGTTGGTCTTGAACTCTTGGGTTTAAGTGATCTTCCTGCCTCAGCCTTCCAAAGTGCTGGGATTATGAACCACCGCACCCAACCAGCATTTTAGTTTACAAATAAATTTAAGGCTGGCCACAGTGGCTCATGCCTATAATCCCAGCTAGTTGGGAGGCTGAGGATGGAGAATCACTTGAACCTGGGAGGCAGAGGTTGCAGTGAGCCAAGATCATGCCACTGCACTCCAGCCTGGGCGACAGAGTAAGACTCTGTCTCAAAAACAAGAAAATTAATTTAAAATTTCTAATTTTCAACTGATAGTCGTCACTTCCTCAGACCTCTTTATCCTTCCTTTATTTCTATTACTGTCATCAGCAGTTGGCTTTCTTTTACCAAGAAAACATTTTTGAATTGGTTATGGAATCAAGAAATAGAGAACAACAAACTGCTTCAAGATATGGTTGTTAGCTGCTCTGCTAAGTTCACTCATTAGTACCTAACTCTTCTCTATATACTGGTAATTTATTTCTTATGATTAAAGTTTATACCTTGGCAAAATTACTAGTTACCATGTATGTCATGGACCTCCTTGATTTATAATGAAAAGGCAAATCTGTGATTAGTAAATTCATGAATGTGAGACTTTCATAGTCGATTTTGTTCCTTGATTTTGTTTCTAGCTTTGGATAATAAATGCTGTAATGATCATTGTGATCAAGGCTTTATCTCTTTGTGTCAATGTTTTTCAATGAAGTAAATGTTATGTTTGTTATATCAAGAAGATGCTATATTACCAAATAGATTTGTCAGTAGTATTATCTATAGTTATAGCTGAAATTATGGTTCCTCTAATTAGTTTCTCTTTTTCTGCTTTCCTACTGAGAAAGGTAATGAAGTATTTTTTCCTGCTTTTTATTATTTATACCAAAGTAGAGTGAACGGAATAATGACCCATGGCCCAGCTTCAGTAATCAACATATAGCCAATCTTGTTTTACTTATAACAATTTCCTGTAGCTACTTTAAAGCAAATTCCAGGCATCATATTACCCCATTGCCGAGTAACTTTGTATGTGTTTCCAGAAGACAAGGACTCTTACTTTCTTTTGCTGTTTTGTTTTGTTTTGTTTTGAGACAGAGTCTTACTCTGTGGCCCAGGCTGGAGTTCAGTGGTGCAATCTCGGCTCACGGCAACCTCCATCTCTTGGGTTCAAGTGATTTTCCTCCCTCAGCCTCCTAAGTAGCGGGGACTACAGGCATGCACCATGATGTCTGACCAATTTTTGTATTTTTAGTAGAGATGGGGTTTCACCCTGGTGGCCAGGCTGGTCTCAAACTCCTTACCTCAAATAATATGCTCACCTTGGCCTCCCAAAGTGCTGAGATTACAGGCATGAGCCACCACACCTGACATATTGTTTTTTTTCCTTTCTCTTCAGGAACAGTGGCACAAAATGTAAGATTTTTTTTTTTTTTTTTTTTTTGAGATGGAGTTTTGCTCTTGTTGCCCAGGCTGGAGTGCAATGACATGATCTTGGCTTACTGCAACCTCCACCTCCCAGGTTCAAGCGATTCTCCTGCCTCAGCCTCCTGAGTAGCTGGGATTACAGGCATGTGCCACCAGGCCCAGCTAATTTTGTATTTTTAGTAGAGATGGGGTTTTTCCATGTTGGTCAGGCTGGTCTTGAACTCCTGACCTCAGGTGATCTGCCCAACTCCGCCTCCCAAAGTGCTGGGATTACAGGTGTGAGCCACCGGGCCTGGCCAGTTTTTTTTTTTTTTTTTTTTTTTTTTTTTTTTTTTTAAGAGACTGGGTTTTTCTATGTTGCCTAGGCTGGACTTGAGTTCCTGGGCTCAAGCAATCAGCCCACCTCAGCCTTCTGAGTAGCTGAGACTACAGGCACATACCACTGTGCCTGGCTTTTTCTTTCTTTTTTTTTTTTTTGAGACGGAGTCTCGCTCTGTCGCCAGGTTGGAGGTTGAAGTGCAGTGGCGCGATCTTGGCTCACTGCAACCTCCGCCTCCTGGGTTCAAGCGATTCTCCTGCCTCAGCCTCCCAAGTAGCTGAGATTACAGGCTCATGCCACCATGCCTGGCTAATTTTTGTATTTTTAGTAGAGACGGGGTTTCACCATGTTGGCCAGAATGGTCTCAATCTCCTGACCTCGTGATCCACCTGCCTCAGCATCCCAAAGTGCCAGGATTACAGGAGTGAGCCACTGCGCCCAGCTGGCTACTGTTATTTTTTAAAAATATAACAATAGTTTCATTATTATAACTACAATTTTTTTAACAAACTTGTTAAATATCATCAAATAGCCAATCAGGGTTTAGATTTCTGTAGTTGACTCATAAATGCCTTTATACAGTTCATTTTTTGAGTCTGGATCTAAATAAGGTTCATATACTGTATTTGATATGTCTCTGAAATCTTTTTTAGCCTGTCATACTTCCACCTGCATTTTATTTCCCCTTGTCATTTGTTAAACCTAGTCATTTGTTCTGTAGATTTTTCAAAATCTGGGTTTTGTTGATTACATTCCTGTGGTAGAGCTTAACATGTTCACCTATCCCTTTTTTATCTGCTGATTGTTAGATCTAGAAGCTTGCACAGATACAGGCTTGATTTTTTTTTTTTAATTTTGATAAGAATATTTCACAGTTGGTGTTGGGTACATTATGTGTGCTGGTCTTTCTTTTTGTGATACTAAGATTAATAGTTGATGGATTCTAGATCTAACTATCAGGAAATAAAAAGGGATAGGTGAACATGTTAATTAAGCTCTACCACAGGAATGTAATCAACAAAACCCAGAATTTGAAAAATCTACAGAACAAATGACTAGGCTTAACAAATGATGGGGAAATAAAATGCAGGTGGAACTATGACAATCAGATTTATTCATTGTAATATTCTTCATCAGTCTTATACCTAGAGTAGCAGGCTTTGATCACAGTCTAGATTTACTGTTTTATTATAGGTTGCAAGGTAGTAATATTCTGTCATTTCTCTCATTGACTAGAATTTTTCTAAAAAGGACTGTATCTTATCAACTATTTGGTTACCTCGAAAACTGCTTCTACTGGCATGATGGGATAAATGATTCTTTTTCTTTCTTTATTAGTTTTCAGAATAATGAGTTTGTTCCCTAAGCATCAGTAAAGTTTATTTTAATGACTTTCAATGGAATCAAAAACTTGGTGTGGCATTTGTTATTTTTTTAAATCCACACAATTAAAGCCATTATTACTGCTAACTGTATTTCTAAAAACTTAAGGCTTTGGGGGTGGGGGTTTGAAGTCATTTAATTCGGCCACCTTCAGCACTAAACCAAAACTGTATAAGAGAAATGCTTGTTTCTGCCAAATGAGTCCCATGAGCACAGCTGAGATTGTTCAGAATTATCTTCTACCTCAAAATTTGGTGTTCTTTCAATTTCCATAGCATTGCTTTGCAACTGATTGCCGTTTTCCTTGACCATCGTGAATTTAGCTGACATGAAATAGCTTTAAAATTTAGAATGAGAAACAATTACATTGATGTGTATTGAACTTCTTACATACAGTCTCTCTTTGTTTTATTGTGTGTAGTGTATTTGCATTAAAAACAAGATTTTTTTTTTTTTGTCCTTACAGATTATTCATCTACTCTAGGGGTTGGCTTTTACTTGACACCCTAATCTGGTGTTTCAATGTCTAAATCCTCTTTCCTGCATTAATTGAGAGGATGACATGGGTGAAAAATAAGCAGTAGGAACTGATGAATCCCCAAGGACCAGTGATCCTGTTTTTATGCAAATATCTGCACTGATAAAGATGATGGAAAGAAAAAAAATGCAAAAAATATTTGTCCTCAAAACATGATTGTTTGTCACTTCCCAAGAGCATTGTTAAATGTTAGTATAAAAATTATATGAACCTTCTAGGGCTGATAGTAACTAGGTTGTGTCTTTTGGAAGATGAGTGCTACCCTTTGAATTGGTACATGATTATGCCTCAGATAACCCTTTTGGTGTGCAAATTTTGGAATGCAGTAACTTTTCTTATAGGGATTTATAGTCTCTCAGATGATTGAGGCCTCTTGGCTTGATTTGGGCAGTTAATTTATATGAAATTCCCTTGAAATATATAGAAATATTTAAAAAAGTAAAACTCTGCCTTAGCATATGAAGAATTCCATTTCTATTATTTCCATCTGAGCTCAGAGTCCTCCCTCTTTTACTGGAACTATGTTACAGTCACCTTCTAGCTGGTCCCTCTGCCTCTCAACTAGCCCATTCCAATCTATCTTGTTACTGCTGCCGCATTGTTTTTGTGTTTGTTTTTTTGAGACAAGGTCTCTCATCCAGGCTGGAGTGCCATGGCCTTATCATGGCTCACTGCAGCCTCGAACTCCTGGGCTCAAGAGATCCTCCCACCTCAGCCTCCCAAGTAGCTGGGACTACAGGTGCAGTGCCACCATATCTGGCTAATTTTTTTGATATTTTGTAGAGACGAGGTCTCACTATGTTGCCCAGACTGGTCTTGAACTCCTGGGCTCAACCAGTCCTCCCTCCTTGGCCTCCCAAAGTGCTGAAATTACAGACATGAACCACCATGCCTACCCCAGCCTGATTTATTATTTATTTATTTGTTTATTTTTTGAGGCAGTGCCTTGCTTTGTCTCCCAGGCTGGAATGCAGTGGTGCAGTCTTGGCTCACTGCAACCTCCACCTCCCAGGCTCAAGTGATTCTTATGCTTCAGCCGTCCAAGTAGCTGAGATTACAGGTGTGCACCACCATGCCCAGCGTTTTAAAAATATTTTTAGCAGAGATGGGGTTTCACTATGTTGGCCAGGCTGGTCTCGAACTTCTGTCCTCAAGTGATTTGCCCGCCTGGCCTCCCAAAGTGCTGGGATTACAGGTGTGAGCCACCACGCCCGGCCCCGGCCTGATTTTTTGAAGTACATTTTCTTCTCTTTGTCTTTTGCTCATAAATCATTGGTACTACTTCATTACCCATAGGATAAAATTTAGGCCCCTTAGTGTGGCATTCAAAATCCTTTGCATTCTGACCCTCGCCGGATTACTCTAGCCTTCTTACATCTCCTCTACCAAAACACATGCACTGTCTCTGTCTGAAGCTTCGGGAAATTGTTCTTTTTCTGGGTAGTTGGTGTTTTAGTGATGAGACGTAATATTTGAAGGTCTTATTTCTGGAATGTCTTCTCTTATGACAGTGGATGGTCAACAGCACAGAATAAATACAGTGTGAAACTTGTTGATGATCGCTTGGTTTATCTTCTACTTGAACCCTACTCCATCACTATTATTACATGCTTATGATCCTGATTTAGACCTGTAAGTTTCAATACTACATTGCTTCCTTTATTCCTAAGGTTCATTATCATGAATCCTATTGAATACTAGTTCTCAGCAGTTTTTACCCTCTCTTTCTGGAATACTTCCCCATCTTCTTAGTTCTACTCATGCTATTCCTTTTTCTCGGTAAGCTGTCCTTCTATCAGCTTTCCCTTTTCATCCTTGATTTAGAAAGTGAGTGCTCTCTCTGGCCTCTCAAATTGCCCCTAGAGCAGTTTGTTTGTTTGATTTGTAAGGTGCTTTTACCATTCTTCTTGGAGATTTTTGGTACATGTCTCAGTCCTTGGACTGATTGTAACTTTTTAAGATAAGAATCATATTTTTACTTTTTCAGCCCATAGCCCATAGATTTTTTTCCCCATCTCTGAAGACCACAGACCAGTTAGTAGTCATGCAAATGACCTACTTACTAGCTATCTTTGAAATATTTTTAAATAAAATGTGAAAACTGGGAAAGCAGAGGATTGTATCATTTGAAACTACGGCTAAACCTTGGGACCCTGATACATTTGGTTTTTTTCTCTTTTTTTTGGGTAACAGCTTTATTGAGATGTAATTCACATAGTCTATAATTCCCCATTTATAGTGTGCAATTCAGTGATTTTTGTATATTCAGAATTTTGCAGTCACCACCACAACCAATTTTACAACATTTTCATCACCTGAAAAACCTTGCACCCATTAGCAGTCACTCCCCATTACTTCCCAAACTCCCCAGACCTAGGCTGTTACTTACTGGCTTCATGTCTCTATGGATTTGCCTCGTCTGGACATTGCTTGTAAATGAAATCATATAATATGTGGTTTCTTGTGACTGGATTCTTTCTGTTAAGATAATGTTTTCAGTGTTCAATTATGCTATAGCATGTATCAGTGCTTTCTTTCTTTTTATGGCTGAATAATATTCCATTGTATAGATACGCCACATTGTATTTATCTACCTGGTGATGGGCGTTTGAGTTGTTTTCACTACTTGGCTACTTCAAATAATGCTGCTGTGAACATTCAGGTTCAACCAAAACACACAACTTTTTGGGTAAACATGTTTTCATTTTCTTAGGTTTATAGCTAGAGGTGGAATTCCTGGGTCATGTGGTAACTCTATATCTGATCTATTGAGGAACTGTCAGACTGTTTTCCAAACTAGCTGAACCATTTTGCATTCCCACAAGCAGTGTATAAGGGTTCCAGTTTTCTCACACCCTTGCCAATACTTGTTATTTGTATTTTTTGTTTTTTTAATTATTATCATGTCCATCATAGAGGGTATGAAGTAGTGTCTCATTGTGGTTTGGATTTGCATTTGTCTAGTAATAATGGTGTTTAGCATGTTTTCATGTGCTTATTATATATCTTCTTTGGAGAACTATCAATTCAGATCCTTTGCTTATTTGTAAATTGTATTGTTTGTGTTTTTATTATTGAATTGTAAGACTTCATTATATATTCTAGAAACATATATATGTTATTATCACATATATGACATTATCAGATATATGACTTGCAAAAGTTTTCTCTCATTCTATGGGTTGTCTTTTTACTTTCTTAATGGTGTCCTTTGAATCACAAAGCTTTAAATTTTGATGAAATCCAATTTATCTATTTTGTTGTTGCTTGTGTTTTAGTGTCCTACCTGATAAACCATTGCCTAATCCAGGTTCTCAAAAACTTATGCCTGTGTTTTCTTTTAAGAGTTTTATAATTTTAGATTTAGGTCTTTGATTCATTTTAAGTTAATTTTTATATTTGGTGTGAGATAGGGATCTAAATTAATTCTTTCGCATGTGGATATCCAGTTTTCTTAGCATCGTTTGTTGAAAAGACTATCCTTTTTCTATTGAATTGTCTTGACATCCTTGTAAAAAATCAGTTGGCAGCCAGGCATGGTGGCTCACACCTGTAATCCCAGCACTTTGGGAGGCCAAGGTGGGAGAATTGCTTGAGCCCAGGAGTTTGAGACAAGCCTGGGCAACAAAGTGAGACTCCATCTCTACAAAAAGATTAAAAATTAGCCATACATGGTGATGTGCACCCATAGTCTCACCTACTCAGGAGGCTGAGCCTGGGAGGTTGAGGCTTCAGTGAACCATGATCACACCTCTGCACTCCAGCCTGGGCTATAGAGAGAGACCCTGCCTCAAAACAAAAAAAATTGGTTGGCCGTAAATGTGAAGGTTTATTTCTAGACTCTCATTCTATTCCATTGATGTAATCTCTATCCTTATGCCAGTAATTCACTTTCTTGCTTACTGTAGCTTTGTAGTAAATTTTGAAATTGGGATGTGTGAGCTTTCCAACATCAACAATGTTTTGCAATTTTCAAAGCACAAATATTATACTTCATTTGTTAAATTTTTTCCTAAGTACTTTATTCTTTTTGATGCTATTATAAATGGAATTGTTGTCTTAATTTCATTTTCAGTTTGCTCATTGCTACTACTGAGAAATAGAATTAATTTTTGTATATTGATCCTGTATTCTGCAACTTCGTTGAACTTATTTCTTTAGTTCTAATAATGTTTTAGTAGATTATTTATAATTTTCCATATACAGAATTGTCATTTGCAAAGAGAGACAGTTTTACTTCTTCATTTCCATTCTGACTGCCTTTAAATTAATTCTTTTTCCTAATTGTCCTGGCTAGAAATCCCAGTACAGTGTTGAATAGACGTGGCAGGAGTGGACATCCTTGACTTTTCCTGATCTTTGGGAGAAACCCACAGTGTTAGCTGTGGGCTTTTTGTAGATGTGCTTTAATGTAAATAAGGTAACACTGAATATATTACCTTCTAAAAAAGCTTTGAGGAATTTAGCTTACTTTGATATAAGTAGTTGCTTCTGCTGATTAATCATATAATTCTGTACGTTCATGTAGCAGTTTAATGGGACTGTTATTTGGCTAAATTTTATCACTGTTGTTTTTTAAAAGCAACATTTCACTGTAAAAAGATTGAGAGGGATGCCAAGCGGGGATGATTGCTTGAAGCCAAGTGTTTGTAACCAGCCTGGGCAACAAAACGAAGACTCCATTCTCTAAAAGAAAGACCCCATCTCTAAAAGAAAAAGATTAAGGCCAGTGTGGTGGCTCACGCTTGTAATCCTAGCACTTTGGGAGGCTGAGGTGGGCAGATAACCTGAGGTCAGGAGTTTGAGACCAGCCTGGCCAACATGGTAAAACCTTGTCTCTACAAAAATTAGCTGGGCATGGTGGCGCACGCCCATAGTCCCAGGTACTCAGGAGGCTGAGGCAGGAGAATCGCTTGAACCTGGGAGGCAGAGGTTGCAGTGAGCCGAGATTATGCCACTGCACTCCAGCCTGGGTGACAGAGCGAGACTCCATCTCAAAAAAAAAAGGAGGCCAGGCATGGTGCCTCACGCCTGCAATCCCAGCACTTTGGGATGCCAAGGCAGGCAGATCACGAGGTCAGGAGATCGAGACCATCCTGGCTAACACAGTGAAACCCCGTCTCTACTAAAAATACAAAAAAAGTTAGCCGGGCGTGGTGGTGGGCACCTGTAGTCCCAGCAACTTGGGAGGCTGAGGCAGGAGAATGGCATGAACCTGGGAGGTGGAGCTTGCAGTGAGCCGAGATCGCGCCACTGCACTCCAGCCTGGGTGACAGAGCGAGACTCCGTCTCAAAAAAAAAAAAAAGATTAAGATGTCTCCATTCAAAACTTAATACTTTATCCCATTAATCTACATTGATGAAGTTATCTATACAACTTTACTATTTGGTACTTTATTTGATGGTAGTAACTAAGAAAAACTGCTTTCAAGAAGCAGAAGTTTCCACAGCACTAGCCTGTGGTACTAGACTTCTCCACCCTCTGGGCATGTGATTTGCAAAAAAGTGATCATTTACATTTAGAAGTTGTTTCCCATCTAGATAAAATTCTAAACAGTTCTTTTGATTTGTAATTTTAATATATAAAGGAGGGAAGGGAGAGTATAACTGTGATTCTTACACCTTTTTGTTTTTTTGGAGACAGGGTCTCTGTTGCCCAGGCTAGAGTGCGGTGGTGCAGTCATAGCTCACTGCAGCCTTGACCTCCCAGGTTCAAGCAATCCTCCCAGCCCAGCCTCTCGAGTAGCTGGAACCACAGGACAGTGCCACCATGCCTGACTGATTTTTTTTTTTTTTTAATTTTTATTTTGTAGAGATGGGGTCTCCCTGTGTTGCCCAGGCTGGCCACATCCTCCTAGGCTCAAGCAATCCTCCCGCCTCAGCCTCCCAAAGCACTGGGATTATAGGTGTGAGCCACCATGCCCTGCCCCTGGTATTTATTTATTTATTTATTTATTTATTTATTTATTTATTTATTTTTGTGGGCTGACATCAGAATTATTTGTCTGGCTTCCCTTATTAGGCCAATTAAGTCCTACCTCTCATAGAACTAAATTAATAGTCCTTGACTGAGGAGAAAAATCATCTAGCCTTTAACCTCTAGATGGCAGCATGAGTCTTTCTGTACCACTAACAGAAAGACTACCCACATCTCTTGAACTGGATTTTTGATCTATGTAAAAACTTGTTGTGATTTTTTTTCTTTTTTTCTTTTTTTTTGTTTTGAGATGGAGTTTCGCTCTTGTCGCCCAGGCTGGAGTGCAATGGCGTGATCTCAGCTCACCGCAACCTCCGCCTCCGTGGTTCAAGCTATTCTCCTGCCTCAGCCTCCCGAGTAACTGGGATTACAGGCATACGCCACCACGCCAGGCTAATTTTGTATTTTTAGTAGAGATGGGGTTTCTCCATGTTGGTCAGGCTGGTCTTGAACTCCTGAACTCAGGTGATCCGCCCACCTCGGCCTCCCAAAGTTCTGGGATTACAGGCATGAGCCACAGCACCTGGCCCCTTCTTGTGATTTTTACCAGACTACTTGCCTAGCTTTGTTGATACCTTGTTGATTTTTATTTTTAGCTTTTTGTTTTTCTTTTTTATCTCTTCATCTTTTTTTACATATTTCCTTGTTTGTTTGTTTTTTTTTAAATTTTTTTTTGAGACAGGGTTTCCCTCTGTTGCCCAGGCTGGAGTGTAGCAGCACAATCTCGGCTCACTGCAACCTCTGCCTCCGGTTCAAGCGATTCTCCCACTTAGTAGAAAAAAATTCTAAAAATGTGGTTAATTCAATAGTTTTTATATCTGCATATAAGACCCTAAAAATGGGTTAAGTTCTCTTGTCTCAATACTTTCCCCTACCAGTGACTTATCTTGTATCCTTGGACTCTGTTGGTTTTCATGTGGTATCAGGCAATGCTCTATTACATTAAACAGGAATGTTAGCTAAAGTTGATGAAACTACATTGGACTAATTAGTCCTTCAAGAAAAATTTAATTGTTTTAAAATAAAGCTTTCAAATATTTAGCCATTTTGAATAACAAAAGAATGAAGTGTCCTGTTCAGCAACTGTTTGGGTGACTACTTCATACAAGGCTATGTAGGGGATAGGAAGATAATTACTGCCCTCTTGTAGATTAAAATCTAGTAGGAAAGGAAGATAAGACAACTAAGGTAAATGATTCTTAAAAAAATATAGAGGAGAAAAGCTCTATGAGAGTACAAAGAACTATATGGATGGGGGAGAAGAGGCAATTGCATTAGATTGCTACAGGAGTGGCAGATAAACTTCATTTTATTTAGTTAAGACCTGCCTAGGACCATTGAATTGAGAAAGATTTTGAGAGGGAGCCTAGATTCAGAGAAGGCAATTAGTGATGTCTGTTATAGACAAGGGAAATGAGTATGGTAATATTTGCAATTTCTGGAACATTGGAAATAAACCTGGCCAGGTGCGGTGGCTCACGCCTGTAATCCCAGCACTTTGGAAGGCTGAGTTGGGTGATCACCTGAGGCCAGGAGTTTGAGACCAGCCTGGCCAACATGGTGAAACCCCGCCTCTACTAAAAATACACAAATTAGCCAGGCGTGGTGGCGGGCGCCTGTAATCTCAGCTACCCGGGATGCTGAGGCAGGAGAATGACTTGAATCTGGGAGGCAGAGGTTGCGGTGAACTGAGATGATGCCACTGCATTCCAGCCTGGGCAACAGAGCAAGACTCTGTCTCAAAAAAAAGGAAGGAAGGAAAGAAAGAAAACCTTAAAGAACACAAAGATGGGTAGAAATGGAAAGGGAGCATATTCTAGGTAGAGTGAATGTTAAAGAGTTTGAAAGCAACAGCTCTGCTCAAGGAACGGTGCGAGTGGTTGAATCTAGACCCCAGGTTATGTTAGGTCTCATAATGACTAAGACTAGGAAGGAGATAGAGGGGCCAGACTGAGGAGGGCCTTGAACTCCAGGGGTCAAGGAGTTATTCTCAGTGGTAGTAGGGAGCATGTGAAATGTTCTTTAAAAAGTATCTTAATGCTGTCAAATTAACTGTGTGTGTTGTAGATGGTTTGGGGAGACCCTTTACTAAAAGAGATTTTACTACAATTTTTTTTATTGTAAAAATAAAGAAGAAAGTAAAAAAAAGAAAACCACCAACAAACCATAGCCTTACCACTGAGAGATAACCACTATTAACATTTCATGTGTTTCCTGGCCCCACTTTTAGTCCCTTTATGTGTCTATGTGTGTGTTTATATGTATACTTGCATCCATTCATGTACCATGTACACAGATAATGCTATTTTTCTTTCTTTTCTTTTTTTTTTCTTTTCTTTTCTTTTTTTGAGACAGGGTCTCCCTCTGTCACCCAGGCTGGAGTGCAATGGTGTGATCTTGGCTCACTGCAACCCCTACCTCCCGGGCTCAAGCAAGTCCCCCACCTCAGCTTCCCAAGTAGCTGGGACTACAGGTGTGAGCCACAGCGCCCGGCCAGAAATGCTTTTTTAATATAACTGAGATTAGTGTGTGTGTGTGTGTGTGTGTGTGTGTGTGTGTGTGTAGTTTTAACTTGTGCTTTAAAAAATTTTATTCTATCTTAAGCATTTTCCTGTGTCATTAAAAGTTCTACCACTGAAGATTTTTGAATAGGAAAGATACACACCTTTAGGAGGCATTGGTGCACAGGATAGAGTAGGATGGTAGAGAGAGGAGGCAGGAAGTTACAGTGGGAATCCAGGGTGAAGGATTGAGAGCTTGAATGGATGATGGCAGTGAGAATGGGAAGAAGTGCACTGACAATAGATTTTTCAGATTTGGAATTTTTAGGAGTAGGTAAATGTCTGGATGGGGATGTTACGGGATAAGCTGAAATTAGAGCTTACCATGATGTTTTAGCCTAATTAATGACAGGGAAGTCAGAAGGAGGCTAGATGCCTGCTTAACAACAACAACAACAACAAAAATCACATAATTCTTTTACTTGCTCCTTTGTAGGCAGGCATCTTTATTTTCTTAGAAATAAGTAAATGTCATTTGTAGAGGCTAGAGGTTAGTGTTATTAATAAGATATCTAGTTCAGTCATATTACCTAGGCAACAGGTAATGTTTTAGATAGTGAATGGTGAGTTATTTGATCTCAAAGAAATCAATATGTGAAATAGGATGTACATAACTTCAGAAGTTGACTTGTGAAGTCCCTATTTTCTTTGGCTGGTCATTAGGCTGCTAAGTAGAATGACTGACTTTTGTATGGTTTTCTTCCACAATAGTGCTTTTTCTTTCGGTTCCCTACCTATGAACTTTTCCTGAACTTTCCTACAAGTTTAAAAAGTTGTTATGGCCTCTCTATACAGTAGACATCCAATTCTTTGTTAACTGGAAAAAAGTTTCAGAAGTTTAAATTTGAAGTAACAGGAATTGGTCCAAAATATTTGTTGTTGCTCATGTTTTAAATAAGCGACATTGGATTATATCAGCACTGGGATAATTCCCATTAGGTATTATGACTGCAATTTACATGCAATTGGAAATTAGTGATTGAGAGGGAAACAGATTGCCAAATTATCTTCCA
Source organism: Homo sapiens (assembly GCF_000001405.40). Taxonomy (NCBI): domain Eukaryota; kingdom Metazoa; phylum Chordata; class Mammalia; order Primates; family Hominidae; genus Homo; species Homo sapiens. The sequence goes on from NC_000014.9 coordinate 74,115,225, forward strand.
AAAAGGTACTCCCCACTCCATATCCTTGCTAATAACAAGTATTATAATTATTTAAAGTCATTGCCAACTTGATAGGCAAAATATTGTCTTGTTCTAATGTTCATTTCTTCTATTGTGAAGGCGAACTTTTTTTTTCCATGTTTCTTGATCCTATCTGTTGATGAGGGCTGGAAGTTCAAGAAAGTATAAATTTAAATTATTTTAACCTGAAAAATAAAGCCAGAGAACTTGATTGAAAAGCACCCCAAAGACTGTGTTGAAATCTGCATTGCAAATACTGATGGAAACTTATCCTTGTTTTCTTTGTTTTATGCATTACTTTACCATCTTGCCATAGTCATTAGCTTTGCACCTATTTAGGTTACAGCATAAAATCTAGGAACTCCACTTTGAAGGGATCATGGTTATTCTTAATTAGAAATTGTCAATTTAGCCTTAAGTATTTTATTTTTTGAAATGTTTTATGATAATGTGAAGTAAACCATGCCATTATTTCTCATTTTTCCCTTGGTTAACAAATTAGGATATACAAATCTTCAAATTACCTTTAAGGCTTGTAAACATTCAAATCTTTTATCCGTTAGTCAAGTTATTTCATAAACCCAACATTGCCTCTGAAATGGCTTTACACACAAAGAGGATTTTACCATAAAATGCTTGTGGTGTTTCATTCTCTTCTGATTTTTTGTAGGGGAAGGGGGTTGGAGAGTAGGCAGAGTATAAATTAATTTGGATGGTGTTGGTTTCAAAGTAGCATTCCATGTAATTCTGCAGAAAGTGTGATAAATAAGAAAATGGGCCAGGCATGGTGGCTCATGCCATAATCCCAGCACTTTGGGAGGCCAAGGTGGGCAGATCACCTGAGATTGGGAGTTTGAGACCACCCTGGCCAACATGGTGAAACCCTGTCTCTACTAAAAATACAAAAATTAACCGGGTGTGGTGGCACATGCCTGTGGTCTCAGCTACTGGGGAGACTGAGGCATGAGAATCGCTTGAACACAGGAGGTGGAGGTTGTAGTGGGCCAAGATTAAGCCACTGCACTCCAGCCTGGGCAACAGAGTGAGACTCTGTCTCAAAAAATAAAAAATAAAAAAAATACATAATAAAACAAAGTTCAACATTTGGGAAATACCAGGTGAATTATAGTGTTACCCATACAGTAGAATACAATGTGGTCATTAAAAAACATTAAAGGGGCTGGCCACTGTGGCTTACGCCTGTAATCCCAGCACTTTGAGAGGCTGAGGTAGGCGGATCATTTGAGATCAGGAGTTCGAGACCAGCCTGGCCAAGCTGGTGAAACCCCGTCTCTACTAAAAATACAAAAATTAGTCACTCGTAGTGGTGGACACCTGTAATCCCAGCTACTCTGGAGGCTGAAGCAGGAGAATCACTTGAACCTGGGAGGTGGAGCTTGCAGTGAGCTGCCAAGATTGTGCCACTGCACTCCAGCCTGGGTGACAGAGTAAGACTATGTCTCTAAAAAAAAAAAAAAGAAAAGAAAAAAAGCACTAAAGGGCATTTCATGACAGAAAGGTATTCATTATATATAAGGATAATAGCAAGTGACAAAATGCAGAACATACAATTTTACAGCAGGTGTTTTTTTTTTTTTTTCTTTTGAGAGCATGGACATAGACAAATGGCTGGAAGGAAATACACCAGTATGTTTTAATGACTATCTTGAGTGGTTTTTAAAATTTTCTGAATTTTCCAAATTAACAAAAACACATTCTAGTCTGTTGAATAGGAAAAAAATACTACTTAAAAAAATAAGGAAAAGTTGTATGCCATTTTAGAAACAAAATTGTACTTAAATCTCTGAATTTTCTAGGCAGTTAAATTTTTGAGCTCTTCTGTGGACTGTTTCTAAATAAAAATGAGTAGATCCATTAACAATTGATCAGTTTATACAAGTGATAAATAGCAAGGTGAATGTTTCCCATACATATCTCATTTCCCATACTCAGGATGTGCTTGCATAAGTAGGAATTGAGAGCAAAAGAAATGGTAGGCTGTTGGGTCATGGGCAAGAGACGATTTAGTTGGCCAAAGAAGCATATTTTCTTAAGCAAATGTTGGCCAAGATGTTACTTTATGTTTTCGGGCTGTCTTCACTGTAGTTGGAGAACTGTGAACTCTTGGTATTAAGTACTCAGTAGGAGCAAAGAACCATTTGGAATGTCTGTCAATCTTAAATAGAACTGCAGCTGTTTGGCTGAGAGGTGAAATGGACCTGGATTTCTTTTTTTTGGCGGGGGGGCTTTGAAAGTAGTTTTTGTATAACAAAGAGGTGATGAGAACTAAAGTGATTACAAAAGTGTTCATAGGAGTTCAGTTTCTTTCCAGGCTTTGGGTTTAAGAATGACTGTTTCTGCCCATGGGGAAATAAATTGGCATTTTTCTGCTTTCGTTTGTTTTTTAGTTATTGATGTTCTAGAAATTTCAACAAAATAAGGAGTGTTTTTGTATTTCAAATGTAGTGCCCGTTTCTTTATTTCTTTCTGGTACTTTCCACTGGTTTGTGTTGATAATATGATCTGGAAGGTAGCGATAATGCATGGGAATTTATAAATGATCACAAAATACTTTGTCACAGGAAATCTGGAGAAATAATGACTTTGGCATATGTATAAGAGAAGTATCTCTAACTGTTAAGTCTAAACTAAAAGCTTGTTACTTTTCGGTTTGGTATAACCAAAAAAAATTTGAAAAATAAAATAGAAGTAATGATTTGTTTTCTCAGGTGTAGTTGTATTTGACTGACTCTATTGTAGGAGGACACGTTTAAGACTGAATGGTTGGATAACGGTAAAGACGTCCTTTCAATGGAGAGTTGAATCTGATAGGTTGAAGTTTTGGATATTGAATGAAAAGAGAAAAGAGAGCCGGACAAGCTGAAAATTCCTGTAGTTCCAACTACTGGGGAGGCTGAGGTGGGAGGATCACCTGAGCCCAGGAGTTTGAGACTGCAGTGAGCTATGATCATGCCACTGCGTTCCAGTCTGGATGACAGAGTGAGACCCTGTGTCAAAAAATAAGTAAATAAAAAGAGGAAAGAGCTAAAATGAGAATTCAATCTGATTCAGAATATAAAAATATTCTACTGTCCCATCATTTTTTGTTCTTTAATAAGCTTTAACATTGAAGTATAATGTATATAAAGAAAAGCACACAAATTATAATGTACAACTCAATGATTTTCATAAAATTAACACTCCCCTGTAACCGTTGGTCAAAACAGATCAAGATACAGAACGTTGCGCCTGGTGCTGTGGCTCATGCCTGTGATCCCAGCACTTTGGGAGGCTGAGGCTGGCAGATCACTTGAGCTCAGGAATTCCAGACCAGCCTGGGCAACATGATAAAATCCAGTGTCTACAAAAAATACAAAAATTAGCCGGGCCTGCTGGTGTACACCTGTAGTCCCAGCTACTTGGGAGGCTGAGGTGGGAGGATCACCTGAACCTGGGAAGTCAAGGCTGGAGTGAACCAAGATCACACCATTGTACTCCAGCCTGGGTGACAGGAGTGAGACCCTATCTCAAAACAAAACACCTTTCTAGTACATAAATACAAAATCTCCTTTGTGCCCCTTCTAGTCCCTACTTGCCCCTTCCTCTCAAAGCATTACTGTGACTTATACTATCATAGAATAATTTTGTTTATCTTTGAACTTTATGTAAATGGAATAACAAATCACATACTCTTTTGTGTCTGACTTTTGATCAGCGTTTAAATTATGACATCGGCCATATCATTTGGGTTTTCTCCCATTGCTATATAGTATTTCATTGTAAGAAGTTACCACAATTTATTTCCTCGTTCTACTAATGATGGATATTTGGACTATTTCCAGCTTTTGGTTATTACAAATAAATACTGTTAGTATTTTTGATATATATCTTTTTTTGGTACATGGATTTTCTTTCTTTTTTTTTTTTTTTTTTTGAGACAGAGTCTTGCTCTGTTGCCCAGGCTGGAGTGCAGTGGCACCATCTTGGCTCACTGCAAGCTCCGCCTCCTGGGTTCATGCCATTCTCCTGCCTCAGCCTCCCGAATAGCTAGGACTACAGGCGCCCCCCCACCACGCCCAGCTAATTTTTTTTGTATTTTTAGTAGAGACAGGGTTTCACTGTGTTAGCTAGGATGGTCTCGATCTCCTGACCTCGTGATCCGCCCGCCTTGGCCTCCCAAAATGCTGGGATTACAGGCATGAGCCGCCGCACCTGGGCCGTACATGCATTTTCATTGGATATATAACTAGGAAGTGGAATTGCTAGATCATAGGGGTATATGTATATTTAGCTTTAGTAGGTACTTCCAAATATTAATAGTTTTCCAAAGTGGTTATATCAATTTACAAACCTATCAGCAATTTCAGTTGCTCCAAGTCCTTACCAACAGGTGTATTCTCAGTCTTTTAACTTCTAGTCGTTCTAATAAATGGTATCTTAATGTGGTTTTAATTTGCATTTCCTTAATGACTAATGAGGTTGAGCACCTTTTTGTATGTTTATTGGCCATTTGGATAACATCTTTTGTGAAGTCCTTATTAGTGTCTCTTGCCCATTGCCCATCTTTAAAAACTGGATTACTGGATTATTCTTTTTTTTTTTTTTTTTAGATGGAGTTTCACTCTTGTCGCCCAGGCTGGAGTGCAATGGCACGATCTCAGCTCACTGCAATGTCTACCTCCTGGGTTCAAGCGATTCTCCTGCCTCAGCCTCCCAAGTAGCTGGAATTACAGGTGCACGCTACCACGTGTGCCTAATTTTTGTATTTTTAGTAAAGATGGAGTTTCACCATGTTGGCCAGGCTGGTCTCAAACTCATGACCTCGGGTGATCCGCCTGCCTCGGCCTCCCAAAGTGCTGGGATTACAGACATGAGCCACTGAGCCTGGCTTGGATTATCAGTCTTTAAAAAAATGATTTGTAAGTACTGTTTATATATTCTGGATATCCACCCTTTGTCAGTCACATAAATTGCAAATATTCCACTTTGTAGCTTCCCTTTTAATTTTCTTAATGGTATGTTTTAATGAACCAAAGAGTTTTTTCCCCCAACTTTTTATTTGTTGAAATTTGAAATCTTTAAAAAAGTTTTGGCCAGGCGCAGTGGCTCATACCTGTAATCCCAGCACTTCGGGAGGCCAAGGCCGGTGGATCACCTAAGGTCAAGAGTTCGAGACCAGCCTGACCAATATGGTGAAACACTGTCTCTACTAAAAATACAAAAAGTAGGCCAGGCGTGGTAGCTCACACCTGTAATCCCAGCACTTTGGGAGGCCGAGGTGGGCAGATCACCTGAGGTCAGGAGTTCGAGACCATCCTGGCCAGCATTGTGAAACCCCGTCTCTACTAAAAATACAAAAATTAGCCGGGCTTGGTGGTGGGTGCCTGTAATCCCAGCTACTCGGGAGGTTGAGGCAGGAGAATCGCTTGAACCTGGGAGGCGGAGGTTTCAGTGAGCCGAGATCGTGCCATTGCACTCCAGCCTGGGCAACAGAGTGAGACTCCCTCTCAAAAAAAAAAAAAAAAAATTAGCTGGGCTTGGTGGCGTGCGCCTGTAGTCCCAGCTACTCAGGAGGCTGAGACAGGAGAATCACTTGAACCCAGGAGGAGGAGGTTGCAGTGAGCCACTGCATTCCAGCCTGGGCAACAGAGCGAGACTCTGTCTCAAGAAAAAAAAAAGTTTCAAGCCAGGCTCAGTGGTATGCACCTGTAGTTTCAGCTACTCTGGATGCTGAGGTGGGAGGATCATTTGAGCCCAGAAGTTTGAGTCCAGCCTAGGTAACACAGGGAGACTCTGTCTCAAAGAAAGAAAAAAAGCTTAAAACTATTCCAAAAAAAACCATGTAGTAGGCACAAGTATTTCTAAAAATAAACTATACACAGTAGATTTTCCCCTTGGAGTCAAGTTGTAAATTCTATCAGCAGAGCATTGACCTAAATCATTATAACCCAACAGAAATCAGTGGCTCCCATATAATTCCCAGAGGTTTCCCTGTCCCCACCCAAACAACTTTTCTCTATTCAGCAATTCTCCATTGCTTAGATCTGCTGTTTCCATTCTATATTATTGATTTACTCTATATTTCTTATACCACTAGCCATAATGATTTTCATGCATGTAACAAACAGATTTCATCTATTGATTTCATAAGTAAGTGATGCAAGTTTTAATGACTAATGTGAGACTAACATTTTCCTTATTCGTTCCTTTCCAATTCTAAGATACTTTAATGCATCAACTGAATAGTGAAGTCATTATTGCAAATGCTTTTATCACATAGTGCCGAAGTTAGTTAGCAAATAGTTAAAGAAAATAGTTAAAGATGCTTTGGTTTTTCCAGGAAAGTGGTTTTCCAAAAATTTTCAAATAATGATGGTAATACATTAAAAAATATATCACTCAACAAGTTTGTCAGAAAACTTACACATCAAATCAAGAAAACAGTGAGTTAAGGAAAGAGGAAAACACACCTTCACTTTCTTTTTTTTTTTTTTTTAAGACGGAGTCTCACTCCGTCACCCAGGCTGGGGTGCAGTGGCGCCATCTCAACTCACTGGAACCTCTGCCTCCCGGGTTCAAGTGATTATCCTGCCTCAGCCTCCCGAATAGCTGGGATTACAGGCGCGCACACCACGCGTGGCTAATTTTTGGATTTTTAGTGGAGACGGGGTTTCACCATGTTGGACAGGCTGGTCTCAAACACACCTTCACTTTCTCCACTGGAATTTTTGTTTATCATGTAACCAGTAACAATATTCTCATATTCCCATGAGAAGAGGTTGAGGAAGAAAAGAATTCACACTAGTAATGTAGTATTTTATTTCTGAGATGCTACAGCTTTGACATTATTATAACCCAAATTAAAAGAACAGGAGTGTCATTAACCAAAAAGGAGAATATTGCTAAACGGAACTGTAGTAAAATTTAAAACTTATGTTCAAATTGGAGATATTTTATTATGGATTGAAAATCAGATAATTGTATTGTGTTAAATTTTTTGAGTTTGTTAATTATATTGTAGCTATGTAGGAGAATATCCTTGTTCTTAGGAGACAATGCTGAAGTATTTAGGGATGAACTATCATGGTGTCTGCAGCTAGCTCTCAGATAGCTCAGGAATAAAACAACAAAATTTAAAAATATAAATAGATGAAGCAAGTGTGTAATGTTAACAGTTGGTGAGCAGGTGAAGAGTATATGATTATTCATTGTAGTATTCTTTGTTTCTATTTTATTTAAAATATGTTAGGATATTTTAGGCTCTAGAAAATTTCACTGGACACTTGTGAGAGTATGAGTGAAAAGAGCATCTTAGTATTATACAAATAATTTTTACCTGTCCGGGTGCAGTGGCTCACACCTGTAATCCCAGTACTTTGGGAGGCCAAGATGGGCAGATCACTTGAGGTCAGGAGTTTGAGATCAGCCTGACCAACATGGTGAAACCCTGTCTCTACTAAAAATATAAAAATTAGCTGGGTATGGTGGCAGGCACCTGTAATCCCAAATACTTGGGAGGCTGAGGCAGGAGAATTGCTTGAACCTGGGAGGCAGAGGTTGCAGTGAGCCAAGATCATGTGCTACGGCACTCCAGCCTGGGTGACAGAGTGAGACTCTGTCTCAAAAAAACAAAACAAACAAACAAAAACAAAAACAAAAACCAGTTTTGACCTAGTGGACCCCCAAAAGAAGTATGGCGAGCCCAGGATCTGCAGGTGTTCCCTGACCACACTTTGAGATTTGTTGCCTTAGAGTATTATTTTGATGATTTGATACAGCCTTATTTATAAAACTCTTAGCTCACTGTCTGGATCTTAATAAGTTCTTAAAAACTATTAACTGTTGTTACTCTTATGAGCAGCATATGAGAAATTTTAAGCATGGTAGACATCTGATCATATTTACATTCTTAGGTCACTTTGCTAACATGGTAGAAGGTAGATTGGTGAGGAATGAAAATAGCAACAGGGAGATGAGTTAGATTACTTTAGTAAACTAGACTACAATGGTAAGCCCTTGAACTAAGACAGTAGAAATATTACTGGAGCATAAAGGATGGGTTCTATAAATCCTAGTAGGAGAATGGAAAGTTTTAGTGACTGATTGGATATATTGGGATTGGGAAGTCCTGGGCAGTAAGAATGAGGAACCAAGAACAATTCTTAGGTTTCTAGCTTAGGTGTATATAGGAAGAAGAAGACCTTTGAGAAGAAAGATTTGGGAGTTCATTTATAAGTGTATCTGTAGGCTATCTAGGTGGAAATAAATACCTAGGAGACAATTGAATAGATACTAGAGCACAGGGAATTTGGATCCTTGATCCATAGGTTTTATTTAAAGCCATAGATGAGAGAAGCCAGGAGGATGTGTAGCATTAAATATAGAACCGTGGTGTGGTAGGCACCCTCTAAGACGGTCCCCAGTGATCCCTGCTACTAGTGTGCCCTTGTTTAATCATCTCTTGAGGGTGGGCTGGACCTAATGATAGTAAAAGTGATGGAATCCCACTTCTGAGATTAAGTTACCAAAAGACCATGGCTTCTGTTCTCCCCTTCATCCCCCAGAGAAGCACATTGCCATGTGAGTATAAAGAAAACTAGCCTGGGATTTCAGAGATCCTGGTTATTGGAAGTAGATCTGTTCTACTTACTGACTTGATAAATAACCTCTCTCTGAGTTTCATTTTCCTTTTCTGTGAAATTAAGGTAATAATAATGCCTCTTAATGAGCTGTTGAGAGAGTTAAATTGGATGATGATTATAAAATGCTTAGTATGAGTCTTCATGATCTTGGATTTGGCCATGGATTTTTATTTATTTATTTTTTTTACAAGATGATCATGGACTTTATTCATTTCCAAATTGTAATGTTCAGATATGTTACTGGAATCAAAAAAGAATTGAGCTAGGTTCCTGGAAACAAAATAAATAGACTAACCAAATTCTATATCCAAGACAAACAGAAAAAAAGAAATTAAAAATACCATCTAAGATGTCAGACAGTAATAAAGATGTAGTACATCTACAGAATGATGTATGTAAGATCTCTATAGTTATACAATAACACTTCATGGAGAGCCTTTGTAAAAGACCAAATGAGTGAATATGAATAAATACTGTAAGTAGATTAGAAAGCTCAGTATCTTAAAGATTCAGTTTCTCCCAGAAACATTCGTGAATTTAATATAATTCAAATTACAATCCCCCAAAATTTCTTGAAACTTGAAAGTTCATTTTAAAATTTTATAGAAAATCAAAGAGCCAGTAAAAGCTAAGAGGCTCCTGGGTAGGTGTAGTGGCTCATGCCTGTAACCCTAGCCCTTTGGAAGGCTGAGGTGGGAGGATTGCTTGAGCTCAGGAGTTTGAGACCAGCCTGGGCAACATGATGAAACCCCATCTCTGCAAAAAATGCAAAATTAGCTGGGCATGGTGATGTGCACCTATAATCCCAGCTACTCAGTGGGGCTGAGGTCAGAGAATCACTTGAGCCTGGGAGGTGGAGGTTGCAGTGAGCCAAGATTGCACCACTGCACCCCAGCCTGGGTGACAGAGCAAGACCCTGTCTCAAAAAAAAAAAAAAAAAAAAAAAGCTGAGAGGCTCTTGATAAAGAAGTGACCATGGGTTTAGATATGATGCCAAAAGCACAAACAACAAAAGGAGACATAGGTAAGTTGAACTTCATTAAAATTAAAAACTTTTGTGTGTCCAAGGGCATTATCAATAAAGCAAAAAGACAACCAACAGAATGGGAGAAAAGTTTTGCAAATTATATTTCTGATAAGGGGCCAGTATCCAGAATAAATAAAGAACTCTTAGAACTCAACAACAAAAAAACAGCCCAATTAAGAAATTAGCATGTTTTATAATCCTCTGGGTATATACCCAGTAATGGGATGGCTGGGTCAAATGGTATTTCTAGTTCTAGATCCCTGAGGAATCACCACACTGACTTCCACAATGGTTGAACTAGTTTACAGTCCCACCAACAGTGTAAAAGTGTTCCTATTTCTCCACATCCTCTCCAGCACCTGTTGTTTCCTGACTTTTTAGTGATTGCCATTCTAACTGGTGTGAGATGGTATCTCATTTGTGGTTTTGATTTGCATTTCTCTGATGGCCAGTGATGATGAGCATTTTTTCATGTGTCTTTTGCCTGCATAAATGTCTTCTTTTGAGAAGTGTCTGTTCATATCCTTCGCCCACTTTTTGATGGGGTTGTTTGTTTTTTTCTTGTAAATTTGTTTGAGTTCATTGTAGATTCTGGATATTCGCCCTTTGTCAGACGAGTAGATTGCAAAAATTTTCTCCCATTGTGTAGGTTGCCTTTAAAGACACATTCACATGTATGTTTATTGCGGCACTATTCACAATAGCAAAGACTTGGAACCAACCCAAATGTCCAACAATGATAGACTGGATTAAGAAAATGTGGCACATATTCACCCTGGAATACTATGCAGCCATGAAAAATGATGAGTTCATGTCCTTTGTAGGGACATGGATGAAGCTGGAAACCATCTTTCTCAGCAAACTATCACAAGGATAAAAAACCAAACACCGCATGTTCTCACTCATAGGTGGGAATTGAACAATGAGAACACATGGACACAGGAAGGGGAACATCACACACCGGGGCCTGTTGTGGGGTGGGGGGAGGGGGGAGGGATAGTATTAGGAGATATACCTAATGTTAAATGATGAGTTAATGGGTGCAGCACACCAACATGGCACATGTATACATATGTAACTAACCTGCACGTTGTGCACATGTACCCTAAAACTTAAAGTATTAAAAAAAAAAAAAAGAAATGAGCAAAGGACTTGACTAGACATTGCTCCAAAGAAGAAATACAAATGGCTAACAAGCACATGCAAAGATACTCAACATCATTAGTCGTTAGGGAAATCCAAATCAAAACCAGGGTGATACCACTTTATACCCTCTAGGATGGCTATAATTAAAGAAACCCCAAAACAAAAACAGAAAGTAACAGGTATTGGCAAGGATATGGTGAAATTAGAACCTTCATACATTGCTGGTGGCTATGTAAAATGGTATACTCCCTGTGGGAAACTGGTATTTCTTCAAAAGGTTAAAAGGTAGAATTGCCATATGCCCAGCAATTCCATTGCTAGGTTTATACCCAAAAGAATTGAAAACAGGTACTCAAACAAATGCTTCTACACAAATGTTCACATCAGTACTATTCACAAGAGCCAAAAGGTAGAAACAACCCAAGTGTCCATCAACAGATGAATGAATAAACAAAATGTGGTATATCCATACAGTGGAATATTATTCAGCCATTCAAATGAATGAAGTACTGATGCTACAACATATAAATAAATCTTCAAAATATTATACTATATGAAGGCAGTTAGACACAAAAGGACACATAATGTGTGATTTCATTTACATGAAACATCTAGGGTAGGTAGATCCAGAAGACATGAAAAGGCAGATTGGTGGTTCCCAGGGCCTAGAGAAAGTGTGGAATGGGGAGTGACTACTTTATGGATTTGGGATTTTTGTGGGGAAGGTGAAAATGTTTTGGAACTTGATACAAGTGGTGATTGCACAACATTGTGAATGCACTAAATGCCACTGAATTGTATACTTCAAAAATGTGAATTTCACCTCAATCAAAAACTAGCTAGTATGGTGTTTGACACCTAGCAAGCTACCAATAAATTTAAAATATTATTACATAGTGTCACCTTTATCAGAAATTTAGCTTCGTGACCTTGGTCATCAATTTCCTGAGCTGAAAAAATGAAGTTGTTGGAATAGAAGACCTCTAAGGTCCTTACAGCATTAAAATTCTACTATATTAAGGCCTAGTGTTTCTAATTCATACAGTTAATATTTATTATGTAACTTCAGAGTACTATGCTAGGCAGCAAGGACTTAGCAGTAAATAAGACAGATATAGTTCCTGCTGTCATAAAGCTAACATTCTAGTAGATAAGGCCTTACACAAATAATTATTTGCTGAGATATTGTTCTAAGTACAATGTGGGACAAGGCCTAAGAGGGCAGGGATGGGTCTCCTGAGAAAAAGATATTTCGGTATGAAGAATGAGTAGGAGTTAACTGGGTGGAGAGAACGGAGATGAGCTTTCAGAAGGGAACAGCAAAGTCTGGTAGTGGGAAGGTGCACAGTGTCTTTGAAGAACTGAAAGAAGACTAATATGAATTCAGACAGTGACTGGTGAGATAGACAGGTTGGCTCATGTGAGATTTCTTAGGTTTACTAAGGATTTTGGGTATTATACTGAGAGCACTGGGAAGCCACTGAAAGGCTTTAAGCAAACAATATTCAGTTTCTGATCATGTAAAAAATGGTTTGCAGGAAGGCAAGTGAGGAACTAGGGAAATAAAGTAGGAAGTCATTGCAATAGCTAAGACTGCTGCCTGGAACTAGGGTACTGGTAGTGGACATGGAGAGAAGTAGTTAATTTGAGAATGACTTAGGACACAGAATAAGTCTTTTTTTAAACTTAATTTTTTTTTTGAGATGGGGTCTTGCTATGTTGCCCAGGCTGATCTTGAATTCCTGGCCTCAAGCACTCTTCCCATCTTGGCCTCCCAAAGTGCTGGGATTACAGGCATGAACCACCACGCCTGTCTGGGACAGAGAATAAGTCTTGATGGACTGGCTGTGGGAAAGGGGAGAAGGGTGTCAGGGATGACTCCTAGATTTCTCTTGAGCATGTAAGTCAGTGGCATGCAAAGAACATTGGAGGGACCTCTGCTTTTGGTCAACTTGGTATGTCAGGGACTAGATTCACCTTCTTACCTGAAACAGTTTTTTTAAATGGAAAATATATGAAATAATGATTTTCAGGATGCTGGACATCAGGCAACAAAGGACAGTAATCACTAAAGAGAAAGGTGAACTTTGTGACTGCCCCAAGCTTACTGCTTTGAAAGAATTTCCAGGCTGTGGTGCAGGGAGAGGGACCCAGGCAGAGGCTGGTGGGCTTCCTGAGTTGAAGAAATGGAGCTGAGAGTGTGGAGAGGCCAAGACAGCTAGAGTTCACAGGACAGCAGAGTACCGGAGAGGAGAGGGCGGCACAGAGAAAGAAGAGAGATCCACAGAGGGTCCTCCTGGAGTATTTAGCTGAGGACTGATCAGCACATTCATGTGAGGGAGCTTCTTGAGGATGAAGAAAGAACCATCCAAAAGGATTGGAAGGAACAGTGCCTGGCACCACTGGGCCAGTAATAGTGCCTACTCCCACTGGACTGGAGAAACCTCATCATTCACAGGACACCAGGGAGGACTCAAAAGGATCTTGCCTCTGTAGTGTGGAATACATCTGTCAAAACATACCAAACTATACACTTCAAATATGTGCATTATCATATGTGAATTATATCTCAGTAAAGCTTTTTACTAAAGAACGCTGTGGCTGGGTGCAGTGGCTCATGCCTGTAATCCCAGCACTTTGGGAGGCTGAGACAGGCAGATCACTTGAGATCAGGATTTCAAGTTCAGCCTGGCCAACATGGTAAAACCTCGTCTCTACTAAAAAGTACAGAACATTAGCCTGCTGTGGTGGTGCACGCCTGTAATCCCAGCTACTCAGGAGGCTGAGGCATGAGAATCTTGAGCCTGCGAGACTGAGGTTGCAATGAGCCAAGATCGCACCACTGCACTCCAGCCTGGGCAACAGAGCAAGACTCTGTCTAAAAAAACAAAACAAAACAAAACAAAAACAACAACCCTGGAGGAGGAACAGATTGTAAGGAAAGATTATGCATTTAGTTTTTGACATGGGGTTTGGCTTTGGTTGTTAACTGGAGACATTGTTTAGGCAGTTAAATGTATGAATGAGTGAGTTAGTTTTAGTGGGATGGTGGAGGCAGTTTGAAATGGAGTGAGGAATGAGTGGAAGGTAGGAAATGGAAACAGGATAGGGAGATAATTCTTTCAGAGTTTGACTCTTAAGAGGGACAAAGGGTGAAAGCTAGTGGGAGAAGTGGAGTCAGAGTTTAGTTGCTTTAGGATGATAGACTTAATATATATTTAAATCTCAATGCCACGATAGAAGATGCAGGTTAATCAAATATAAGTAAGGTTTCTGAGAGGGCGCAGGTGAATCAAATATAAGTAAGGTTTCTGAGAGGGTTTGAAGGCATAGCACTTAGAATATGGATGTGTTGGCTTTAGATTGGAAGAGAGCTACTTTGTCTACTCTTGTATAACAAGGGAAATGAGAGAGGATAGATGAAGATCAGGTTTGTGAGTTGGTGGGAAGATGAAGAGGTGCTTATATGTTGGATCCCAGACTGCTTTTCTGTATTTCTAAATTACATGCAGCCGGGCACAGTGGCTCACACCTGTAATCCCAACACTCTGGGAGGCTGAGGCAGGAGGCTCACTTGAGCACAAGAGTTTGATATTAACCCAAACAACATAGTGAGAACCCATCTGTACAAAAAATAATTAGCCAGGTGTGGTGACACACACCTGTAGTCACAGCTACTTGGGAGGCTGAGACAAGAGGATTCCTTGAATCCAGGAATTCGAGGCTGCAGTGAGCTGTGACCATGTCACTTTACTCCAGCCTGGGGGACAGAGTGAGACCCTATGTATAGTCTGTTTTCATGCTGCTGATAAAGACATACCCCAGACTGGGAAGAAAAAGAGGTTTAATGGACTTACAGTTCCACATAGCTGGGGAGACCTCACAATCATGGCAGAAGGCAAGGAGGAAAACATCACGTCTTACATGGATGGCGGCAGGCAAAAAGAGAGCTTGGGCAGGGAAACTCCTCCTTTTAAAACCATCAGATCTCATGCAGACCCACTTGCTATCAGGAGAACAGTATGGGAGAAACTGCCCCCGTGATTCAGTTATCTCCCACCAGGTCTCTCCTACAACACGTGGGAATTATGGGAGCTACAGGATGAGATTTGGATGTGAACAAAGAGCCAAACCATATCACCCTGTCTCAAAAAAAATAAATAAATTACATGAACACATATTAGGGAATGAGGAATTTATTAGATAGGCATTTTTTGGTTTTTTTTTTTTTTTTTTGAGACAGTCTCGCTCTTTTGCCAAGCTGGAGTGCAGTGGCTCAGCTCACTGCAACTCTGCAACTTCTGCCTCCTGGGTTCAAGCGATTCTCCTGCCTCAGCCTCCCAAGTAGCTAGGATTACAGGCGTGTACCACCACTCCTGGCTAATTTTAATATTTTTAGTAGAGACAGGGTTTCATCATGTTGGCCAAGCTGGTCTCAAACTCCTGACCTCAGGTGATCTGCCCGCCTTGGCCTCCCAAAGTGCTGAGATTACAGGCATGAGCCACCACACCTAGCCTAAATTGGCCATTTTTTTTTTTTTTTTTTTTTTTTGAGACGGAGTCTCACTCTGTCACCCAGGCTGGAGTTCAGTGGTCTTGGCTCACTGCAACCTCCACCCGGAAGGTTCAAGTGATTCTCGTGCCTCAGCCTCCCAAGTAGCTGGGATTACAGGCATGTGCCACCACGCGTGGCTAATTTTTTTTGTTTAGAGATGGGGTTTTGCCTTGTTGGTCAGGCTGGTCTCAAATGCCTGACCTCAAGTGATCCACCCGCCTTGGCCTCCCAAAGTGCTAGGATTACAGGCATGACCCACCGTGCCCGGCCCTAAATAGGCTTTTAATTGTAGAATTGACAACCAAAAATTTAAACATAATTTATGAATTAAAATTTTTATTATTTATTTATTTATTTATTGAGATAGGATCTCTGTTGCCTGGCTGGTCTCCCACTCCTGGGCTCAAGCATTTCTCCTGCCTTGGCCTCCCAAAGTGCTAGGATTACAGGTGTGAGCCACGTCACCCAGCCCACAAATTAAATTTTTTATTCTTAAGTATTCCTATTGTCTATTTGCCTTCTAGGCTATCGTGCAACAAATAACCAGCCCAAATCCCATCATCCATTGTCCAGTATAGTTGTGCTTTTCATGGCTGTTAGCAATCTTGAGTAAACCCTGGTGTCAGCTTAGAATTCCTAAGTGCTATGGTGTTTCTAAGTGAGATTGAGGGATATCCAAGAATAAACTTTGCTATTTAAGTGACTTTTTTTTTTTTTTTTGAGACAGAGTTTCACTCTTTTTGCCCAGGCTGGAGTGCAGTGGCATGATCTCAGCTCACTGCAACCTCTGCCTCCCAGGTTCAAGCGATTCTCCTGCCTCAGCCTCCCGAGTAGCTGGGATTGCAGGCGCCTGCCACCACGACTGGCTAACTTTTTGTATTTTTAGTAGAGACGGGATTTCACCATGTTGGCCAGGCTGGTCTCGAACTCCTGACCTCAGGTGATCCGCTTTGACCTCCCAAAGTGCTGGGATTACAGGCGTGAGCATCGCACCTGGCCGTAGGCTTAAACTTTTTAATACATGCCGATTTTATAGCTGAAAAATTATGTTTCAGTATTTTTAATACGCATTTCTTGGTTGCTAATAAAGTAATGTTTACTGGCCACTTGTTTTTCCTCCTTTTATGAATTTTCTGTTATACTGTTATAGTCCTTGTCTGTTTTTCTGTTGGTTGAGTTTCCAGGATTTAAAGATGAGGAAACTAAGACCTAAAAGAAGTGACTTTCCCAGGGCCAACTAGTAATTTAGTGATAGAATCAATCATCATAGCATGTTAAAGCTGGAAGGAATCTTAGAGATAGAGTCACAACCCTGTAATATAACAGATGCAGAAACAGAGGGCTAAAGATCTTAGGTGACTTACCTAAAGACAGCTACAAAGCTCATTAGTGACAGAACCTGGCATCTGAATCTTGAGATCATGAAAAGGGAAAGGCATGTTAACATTTATGAGCCTGTTATGTTTCTTACATGTGTATACTCATTTAATTCTCACTACTATTCTTTATTATTCCCATTTAAACAGATGAGGTAACTTGAGGTTCAGAGAGCTTCAATTATTTGCCCAGAGTCACAGTTATTTGTAAAACTGGGGCTGGAGTCCAGGTCTTCTGATTCTTAATCCAGGGGTTTCATTGCCTCATAATAGTAACAGTGGATGTCTCTTCGCTTCACTCAAATGCTCTTTTGATAAAATATGATTTGCTTCTTGGAGCTTGTAAATAACCTTTATTTCACAGTTCCTGCTGATACTGGACACCAGTCTGACACTTAAGACACTTGGAAGCTTAAGGAACTTTTTGTTATAAAGAAAAGCAGATCAAGGACCATCTTATGCTTATTGGGTGAATAGAATTGAGATCCATGCACTACATATGACCTAAATTTTTTTTGTTTGGTTGGTTGTTTTTTGAGACGGAGTCTTACTCTGTCGCCAGGCTGGAGTGTAGTGGCACAATCTCAGCTCACTGCAACCTCCGCCTCCCCGGCTTAAGCAATTCTCCTGCCTCAGCCTCCCGAGTAGCTAGGACTACAGGCATGCGCCACCATGCCCAGCTAATTTTTGTATTTTTAGTAGAGACAGGTTTTCACCATGTTAGCCAGGATGGTCTCGATCTTTTGACCTCATGATCCGCCCGCCTCGGCCTCCCAAAGTGCTGGGATTACAGGCGTGAGCCACCGCGCCCAGCCATGACCTAAGTTTTTTATGGTAGTGATAGTCTGTGTTGAAACTCTTAGCATTTCCTTAGAACTATTTTTATTCCAAGGAGAATAAAATCTTAATATATAAAATGAAAATGACATTTGGGTTCTGTGAAGTGTAAAACGGACCTCAAATCAACAAGGGGTCAGATAGGAGCAAAATCGAAACCATGTCAATTGCATCCTCCATATCTTTAAAAAAAAAAACAACCCATTTCTTGACAGGGCTCAAAATTTCAAAATCTATCAGAGCTAATTTGGTTGAGGCTTCATCCTATGGAGATACACAAAGATTAGTATTGACTTGTGTATAACTTTAATGACACTCTTGATTTGGTCCAGTTATGTAGAAGTTAGTTGGTAAAAACTGTTCTACATTTCTGCTTTGCAGAGAAATCTTGTGATTGGGTTGGTGTTTTTAAAACCTGCTAGTCGCATCTAAATAAGCTGGGGAAGATGGAAGAGAGCAGCATGTGATAAAATGTTCCTTTTTTCCCTTCCTATACTATTTTGTTAAAAGCCTTCTAGAATATAGGTACCAAAAATTAACTCACTTTATTCTTTCTAGTTTTCAGTAGTGGGGATCTGTTAAGCCTTATTATTTAAGAAATAGATATTAATTCTTATCTTTGGTATTTTTCTGATTTGCTTTATTGTAACAAGAGCTGCACATTAATTAACACATTAATCAGTGCATGCAGAGATGGTTACATAACAGTCTGAGCCATGAACTCAGTCCAGTATTGAAAAATAAGTATCTCCAGAAGTAATTCTTATTCTAGTATCAAACATAACAGTCCTTTAAAATTTCCTTTGGAATGTTGAAAAGAGATCAAATGAAACCTTCAGAATGGTTATTTATCAGGGAACAAGAAACCTCCAATTTCGTTCACCCATTGTAGCTCCACTTTCTCATTTTAATGCTCAATCCACAGTGGCGATGGTAAAAGATGTCCTGCACCTTCAGAGATGGCAGTGGGAGAGGGGACATCACCTTTCCATTTATTGCTTGTTGCAATTTGGCCTGTTTACAGACAGAATTGCTCTGTGGGTTCTTTTAGTGGAGAGTGGAGGAAATCAAGATAGGAACAAGAAATCAGCATTTACACATGACCCATGAGTTGGCTAATTTTTAACATGTAGTTAAGAAATGATTACAGCCTGCAGAGTCATGACCTCAACTTTTCATCAGCTCCATTGGATTGTGCCTCAGTTTGGAAATGAAGGAGGTACACGGGAAGTTTTAATTGTACCTGTGTGATTTATCCCTAGTCAGCTCTTTAATTTCTTCTGGCTGTCTGAGGTTTCCGACATGCTGTAAATTTCCCCAACTTTTTCATTATCTGCAATTTCTTTATGACTTGTGAATCGGAGTGGAGAGAGAGTGTGGATTTACAGCAGAGATAAACATGTCCATAAAGTCTGTATCTGTGTCAGTAATTGTACTGCTGTCAGTGACTGTCCTGTTTTACAGGCCTCTCTTGGGAAAGGAACAGGCTTCACTACCAGCAGCACTGAAGTGCTTGCTTTGATTTGCATTAACTTGCTAGGAGATTAGGTAGGAATGGTGGGATAGGAATTGATACTGGACCTTGGCCTCTCTTGTTTGTTTGAGATCAAATGACCTCCTAGGATAACTGTGTGTTGAAGATAGAACATGGACAGACAATATTCATTTCCTAAATGAAAATGAAACTTGAATTGATATGGTAGATGTGAAAAATCCTTTCTAACTTCATTTTATAATGTACCTTTAAGGTGACTTCCCTTTCCTATCACTGTTGATAATTAAACTTAGGTTCCCTCTGGCCCCCCTCCCCCATTTTCCTTTTCTTAGAATTAAAACACAGGGTTTCACTTTTAGAGCACTCATATCTGCTCAAGAGTGGGCCAGCTAGAGTTAAGGTGAAGACTACATCTGCCTTATCTTAATTCTCAACTATTATTGGCTCTTTCTCATCTGCTTAAGGTGGTGTGCCCACAACCATTTACCATGAGAAAGGCAGTCACAAGGAGCAATTCTTAATATAACTGTCTTTAAAAGGCTCTTTAGGATCTCTCTCTTTAGTGTTTTCTTCCTTATAGTAATTTTGAAAGAAACTGAAATTAAGAGAAGTCCTTTCTAAGTAGATGGAAAAGCAAACACATTGTTTTCTTCTAGTACATTTCATACTCAACAAATCCCTCAAGAATTGAAACTATCCTTGCATACCCTGAACCTTCTTTGAGGTAGGGATTTGTTGTTGTTGTTGTCGTTGTTGTTTTGAGACAGAGTCTTGCTCTGTCGCCAGGCTGGAGTGCAGTGGCGTGATCTCTGCTCACTACGATCTCCGCTTCCCGGGTTCAAGCGATTCCCCTGGCTCAGCCTCCCGAGTAGCTGGTCCTACAGTCGCGTACCACCACGCCTGGCTGATTTTTTATATTTTAGTAGAGACGGGGTTTCACCATGTTGGCCAGGATATTCTTGATCTCCTGACCTCATGTTCTGCCCGCGTTGGCCTCCCAAAGTGCTGGGATTACAGGCATGAGCCACCTCACCCAGCCTCTTTGAGGTAGTTTAAAAGCAGAGTAGGTGACAGAAGAGTTTAACAGTGAGGGGATAAGATGCATGATAAGCATCAACCTATAGTCAGCCCACAAGTCCAAATAATATACTGAGCAATTAAGTTGATTTCTCCATAAGTTCTCGTCTGCTTACATTCCTTTTTGACTGCAACTGACCATAGCCATTTTTTTTTATCATGGGAGTGGGAAGATTAAAGGAGGTGATGTGATACAAAATTGTTTGGCATCCTTCCAGAAGCTGTGGTGAAAAGTGTGGTTAAAATTGTTGCAAGAATAAGATTTGAAATTATCTGTGGTTTTAATTCCTTATCACATCTATTGCCATAGTAGAGTTTATTCTTACTTAACAAGGGATAAACTACTTTATTTGAGCAAGAGGGATAATCTCTTCAGGCCCCTTTGTCAGTCATTTCTTGTCCTCCTTTAGAACAGGGAGTTTTTTTTTTTTAACTCCTTAAAACATTTTTTTTAATAACACTTTGTTGAGATATCATTCACATACCATAAGGTTTATGTTTGTAAAGTTTAGTGTTCATTGGTTTTTAGCACACTCAACAATAAAAAACTATTTGGGTATCTAAACTATTGAGATAGTTTTCTCCTTTTCTTTTTCAGTCCATGCTAATGGTATTCCTCATGGAGTAAGCTTGTGAAATTACATTGTTACCTAATTCTAGTTTGAGGAAACTTCTAGTGTATCACTTGCTATGTCCAATGTAGCAAACAAATACAATAATCTAAAATTAACCTAACAAAACCTAGAGTTATTGTGCTAGTGCTGTAACTCCTTGTTTTAGGACCTTAAATTTTTTTCTTCAGTGAATGCGCAAGTTGAAAGTGCTTAACATTCATTTTGATGCAGACCTTTATTTTTTCTTTTATTAATTTTATACAATCTGATTGTAAGCACAGGTTTGGACCAAGTTAAGGAGTTTCACCTGTATGCCCAGTCAATATGTTGAAAGAAGAGTGAGAAGTCTAGCTGGGTCTGATTACAGAAATAAGCTTTCTAATTGCTTAGGTTGAAAAGCTTGTTATTACTAAGAATTTCTCTTCCCAGAAAATAGTTTGAAAGGTGGGGAAAGTATGTATTCTAGCTTCACAGGGGAAGCATTTTTCTTCTGATAGGAGGGAAAATAGTTTATAGTTGTTTGCATCCATTTCTGCTGCTGTCAGCTGTTAAGTTCAGTAAAAACAAGGGTTTAATTAGCCAACAGTCTCACAGTGTTGGAGGAAAACGTTATTAAAAAAGAAAAGAACAATACAATAAAATATTATTTGGATAATAAATTGTGTATCTACTGTTCTTTGAAATGACTCTGCAAGAGGGATTGATAACTTTGTATTAAAGGTTTAATAAATATAGGTGCTGGAGAATGATTCAATCACATGTCTCCAGGTTGAAAGAGGACCAGCAGCTGCCCCCCTTAATCAGAGTGAGAATGGAATCCAGTAGTAGCCAGGCTTGAAACTAAAGGGAGCGTTAGAGTATTGATCTGTTTACTTGTAGAAGGGATAATTATTGGGTTAAAATCCTTATGTGATGTTTTACTTTTTAAAATCCCGGATTTCCTTGGAACTATAATTTTAAAAACTTATTTCAAATTATCAAGTAAATGAATATCAATGCCACAAATAGGTCAGGAAAGAAGCCCCTCTTCACTAAATTAAGAAGAAAAGTCATTAAGTCTTCTTTTCCTCCAACAGTTCATTATGAAAAAATTTTGATCACCCAGCAAACCCCCCTCTGTGTGTGTATATTTTATATATGAATATATATATATATATATTTTTTTAATCTATATTACGTATTGATATTCTCTTCTTCCTTAGCCATTTGGAAGTAAATTTCAGACATCATGGCACTTTACCCCTAAATGCTTAAGAACACATCTCCTAAGAATAAGGATAGTTTTCTATATAATATTATCACATCCAACAAAAATAATTTAAAAAATCTAATATATTTTCACATTCAGACCTCCCCAATTGTCCCTAAAAATCTTGTGTAGCATTTTTATTAAAACCAAGATCCAGTCCAAGTTCTGGCATTGTAAATGCCATTACATTCTTGATAAGAGAACATTGAGCACTAAATTCTTCACAGCAGCTCTCTTTTTTTTTTTTTTTTTTGAGATGGAGTCTTGCTCTGTTGCCCAGGCTGGAGTGCAGTGGCGCGATCTCAGCTCACCACAACCTCTCCCTCCTGGGTTCAAGTGATTCTTCTGCCTCAGCCTCCCGAGTAGCTGGGATTACAGGCCACGCACCACCATGCCTAACTAATTTTTGTATTTTTAGTAGAGACGGGGTTTCACTGTGTTGGCCAGGCTGGTCTTGAACTCTTGACCTCGTGATCCGCCTGCCTCAGCCTCCCAAAGTGCTGAGATTACAGGCATGAGCCACCGCGCCTGGCCTCACAGTAGCTCTTTTAATAAATATTTACCAGCTTTTTCCTGTGGTGAACATATATTTACTCAAATGACTATCATTTTCTTCTAGAATATTGAGTTTTGAGTTCTCTCTTTACAATAAGCCTGCTTTATCAAGCTCCTTTATTTCTGGTATCCTCTCCTTCTTCCAAATGAATTACCTGTAGAATTGATATTTTCTCCAATAACTACTCTATTCCACAGTCAGAGTAATATTTTTGAAACACAAATTGACATGTGACCTTATTCCCTTCTTCTTAAAATCTGTCAACAGCTTCTCATTGTTCTCAGGATCAAGTCAAAAACCTTTAACTTGGCCTTACAGCTCTGCCTGATCTAACGTTTTTCACACCATGCTCCCTTTCTGAGCATGTGTTCCGCACATTCAGAAAACAGAGGGAAAAGTGAGGTAAATAATCCAGGGAACACCTCTTGGAAGAGATGAAACTTGAAATAGAATTTGATGTCTAATATTTGTATATAAGAGGAAAGAATACACTTCAGAATGGGAAGGAATTTTTGAGAATGGATAAGATATTTTGGGGGAAAATTGATAAATTGTAACAGACTAGAGAGATGAGTCAAAGTGATTTCAAGATTTTAAGCCCTTGTGACTAGGAGAATACAATTTAGTGTGGAACTGAGATATGCATTATAAAACTTCAGTTTTGTTTGCTAAGGTGTTGTTAAAGCATCTTTGAAGGCCAACGTGGCATGATCACTTGAGGCCGGGAGTTCAAGACTAGCCTGGACAGCATAGCGAGTCTCCATCTCTACAGAAAAATTTAAAAATTAGCTGGTGAGGTGGCTCAAGCCTGTAGTCTCTGCTACTTGGGAGGCTAAGGTGGGAAAATCACTTGAGTCCAAGAGTGAGGCTGCAGTGAGCTGTGATTGCACCCTCACCCCACCCCCTATCCTCTGCACTCCAGCCTGGGAGACAGAGTGAGACCCTGCCTCAAAAAAAAAAAAAAAAGGCATCTTTGAAATGAATAACTTAACAATTTAAACTACTATCAGGGTTATATAGGTGAAAAGGTTGTGAATATATAGTCTGTTAATTATGATAAAGTGCAACCATATATAACAGGAAATCTAAAATAATTGTGGCTTACACAAGGTAGCATTTTTTTTTTTTTTTCAACAAAAAGGAAAGCTGGAGGTAGATGCACCTAGCAGGTAGGGCAGTTCCAAAGGTGTCATCAAGGACTAAAGTTTCCATCCTTCCATCCTAAATATACTTTATACACGCTAGAGCTCTAGCCATCATGCCTGAATTGTAGGCAAGAAGGTGGGGTAGGAATTTAATTTAAAAAAGGGATCCCACACAGCTGACACTTTTCTTTTTAAGCAGCCTTCCTGGAAGTCCCACAGAATTTAAATCACCTGGCCTGGCTGCAAAATAATGTAATTGTTTATTCTGAGCTATAATTTTGGTAGCAAAAAAGTTGGCTATCTGTTAATACAGAGGAAGAGGGAACATGGATCTTGGAATAGGCAGCCAATATTCTCTGCCATAGCAGGGGACAAGAGACCTTTGCAAGAGCAGTGGGGTCAGTAGAAGGATGTGAGGTGATGTGTTGAGAAGGAAGCTCAGAATTAGTGATTTTACAGGTGCATGTATGGACTTAGTGATCTTGTTTTCTTTACCACATTAAGCTTGTTTGGTGCTCCATAAATGGGTGACTGCGTGCCCAACATCTCCTGTTAAAGGATCTTGCAGACCTTTTTTTTTCCCCCTCCCTTTGGCTATTTCTCCAAGTAAATAAATATTAGAAAATATCAGCTCTTTTTCATCTTCAGGGAACAAGCCACTCAAGAAATGGTCAGTTTTTAAAATTGCTGAGCAGAACCTGCTATAGATATTTCCAGTATGGAGAAGAGAAACACTTGGATTTCTGATTTGTGTATGTTTACCAAAACAGATTCTAAGATATAAGAAAAATATTGCTAGAGTAATATTTTCTTTTATGCAGCTAGCATAGTGAGTCCAAGAGTTTATTTTTATATTCACTGTGTTTCACATAGGCTTGATTATAATAGGCTATTGGTGTTGTTGAATGGATGATTGAATTATTTCTGAAGCCTGTATGAGGTAGACTGTGGTGATATTTAGAAGTTAAAGGCAGTCTATGGTTTAATGTAATAAAACATGCTTCATAGCTAGTAAAAAAGCTATCCCTTTTATAATATATAGTGTATAGATTATATAATTAATATAAAGCCACAATAGCTTTATTACTAATTTAAAATTTAACTCCTAAGAACACTTCAGCAAAAACACAAAAATAGATTCACTTAAAAGCTTTTTAAAAATAACTTAGCCCAAAACACCAAATAAGTCTAGTAGAGTTTTGCTGCTTTAAATGTAAAAAGCAGCATTTTACTCTTAGTATTTAAAGGCGACTCCTTACCTTCTTGTAGCACTTTGTCTACTGCAGAATGTGCATGATTTTGCCCTAGTTATGGTGACTGGATTCTCATCCTCTCAGTAGGATCAATATTAAGCTAGCCTTCTTTACCTCCTCGATCCATATTAAACCTGTCTTGGAAAGAGTCTGTTTATTGGATAATATAGCTACACCGGGGCTCTATGACAATATCTTTTGCTGCCTCATTAACTCTCGAGCATTAGAACAAGATAAAAATGCCCTAAAGCCTCTTATCTGATGTCTGGTGTAACCTGCTGTAAGCAGGATTGCCATTAGTTTATGTTAGAAATCAAATGACCCTCTCCAGTGCAGGAAGTACTGATTAAACCTGAAGTGTCCCCGGAGGACTCTACAGCTGTCAGAGGGGTGGTGACTGTCCGTCACGAAAAGGGAAATCTGGGCCAGAGGTCCCAGTGGGGCGGTGCTTTAAGAACCCGCACGTGGCTGCCCCAGCTGTTCTGCTTTGCCTAATGAATTGTTTTACAAGAAGAGGCTGGGTATTATCATCACAAGCTGCCTTCCTTAGGGACTGGAGCAGGCCAAATAATAAGTAATGTTAGTGATGGTAATTGAAATGTGATGGCTCTCCTGAGATCTTTATGGCCCTGGAGCTGGTTGGCACTTGTGGATTGCCTTGTCCTAGCAAGTGCCTTATTTTTTTTCTGTTTTGTAATACCGTTGTGTGCGTTTTTCTCTTCTGTCCCCCATGGAAATTCATTAATAAAAGCTATCGTAGGAACATTACAATGATGTTAACTACAAAAGGAACAGTTTTAACTTTTTCATTTCAATTATCAAACACTGTAATGGTAAATAAGTGGTTTCTGGAGGAAACCACTGTAAAGATCTCTCTGTGCTTTTAAAGGAATATGTTAAACTTATACAAATAATACAAGCTCTTGATTTTAAGAATATTTTAAAATAACATGAAAGGATATAAAGTGAAAAGTAAAATCCTTATCTGCTGAATTTATGAGCGGTAACTGCCACGAACAGTTTCTCCATGGATGCTTCCAGACATTTTCTGTACATAGTAAAGTTTATATACATTACCATACACAGATGCAATCATAATATACATACTGTTTTGTGACTTATCTTTGACCCCACAACATGTCTTGGATATCTTTCCACAGCAGTATACATAGATCTGCTTCACTGTTTTCCAAATGCTTCATAGGATTTCACTATATGGATGTACCAATTCAAGACTCTTTGTAGATAGTTTGACTTGGACCTTATAAATGAAGCCTTACCATACAAGCAGGTTGCATCCACTGACTTGTGTTCCATAGTTCAAACTCTGCTTTTACATGAAGTGATTTTCCTTACTTCAGGAATGTTACATTTTAGTCCAGTATTGTTTTAAAATAGGAAATTCTGGAGGTAAAGCTTTTAGGGGGGAGGTAGTGTGAGTCTTGTCATGCATCATTAGCCGGACATATGTGTAGTGATATGCACCCCACTGTGTGCTTTTAATTTGTTGCTTAGTTAAATGAGAAGTATTCTGTCCCAGATAGGTGGGGAAAACAAATAGCCTTTGATGAGTGTTGTCCAAGGCACTGACTGGCGGCTTCCTCTAAAGTTGAATGAGTGTTTTCTCCCCTAATTTTCTACTTCAGAAGTTCCAGGAATCAAGTTTTGAACGCATTAATGGACTTGGGAAATGATTTGTCAGCACGTGGAAATGAGGACTTAGGTTTCTTGTGTAACAGCTTGGCTAACAAAGCAAGTTTGTGCCTCATGAACTTTAAGGGCCTTGCTGGGAGTGGCAGTGTGATGAATGAAGCAAAGCAATTTTCCAGGAGCATTTCAGGTCAGTGATAGGAGAAATCAGTTGTCTTCTCAGTCAAACAGAAACTTAATTTTAGTTGCATCTGTCTTAATAAGAGAATCTGTATGCAAATTGAATGGTAGAAATTCCACATCTGCCAAAGATGGGAGCATTGCAAGTCTTTTTTTTAACTCGAAGCTCTTTAGTCCCATTCTCAACACTTCAAAATTGAGGTTTGACCAAATATTGAAGAGATGTCATACTACTAAATTGCAAAATGCAAACTAGTTTTGTTTCAGACTTTTTATACAGTGCTTTTCTTGTCCTTGATGTTAGTCATTTGAATTGATGCCCAATCTTTAATTTAATAATTGGAGGCTATTATTAATAACAATAACTGATTTACTTCTTGTCCAAGCCTTTATTAGATTCATGGGATGTAGGTATACAGAGATTTCTGGGGCTGTTCTGGGCTATTGGAGATCTTGTAGACCTAAACTATTCAAAGCAGTAGCCACTAACTGCATGTGTTTGTTTGAAGTTAAATTAATTAAAAATAAAATTTAAAATCTAATTCCTCAGTCACTCTAGGAAATGCTCAGTAGCCATGTGTCGCTAATGACTACCACATTGGACAGCACTGCTCTAGACCAAAGGTCAGCAAACTATGGCCTGCAACCTGTTTTTGTATTCTCTGAGCTAAGAATGTTTTTTACGTTTTTATGGGGGCTGTAAAAGTAAAACAAAAACAAAAAACGGAAGAATCTGAAACAGACTGAATGTGGCCCACAAGCCTAACATAACATCCTTACGTCCCATTCATACTTATGTTATGTTAGGCTTGTGGGCCACATTCAGTCTGTTTGGTTCTTTACAAAAAACCTTTGCTCAGCCCTGGACCTATGCTTCCTCTTGGTGACGTTTTGGCTTTCTGATCAAATTGGGTTAGGACTTTCCATAAGTCATCAGAAGACTAAATCTAATAAGCAAATAGACAAATTTCAGATAAAGTTTCTTACTATAGATAGACTATGGAATGAGTCCAGAGCATACACAAATCAGTTCCCTGAAGCTAGGACAAGCGGGATGTGCATTTGAAATAGGAAAATAGTTTATAGTATAAATTATCAATTTCCTACAAGCTTTGTGCATAACACCTATAGTTTAACAGAACATCTTTCTTATTTTGTA
Source organism: Homo sapiens (assembly GCF_000001405.40). Classification (NCBI taxonomy): domain Eukaryota; kingdom Metazoa; phylum Chordata; class Mammalia; order Primates; family Hominidae; genus Homo; species Homo sapiens. The sequence goes on from NC_000014.9 coordinate 74,143,207, forward strand.
CACTATTTTGTGTCTTCTGTGTTCTATACTCTCCTATCTTACTCTGACAGAAACAGAATGAGCCTGGGCATAGTGGCTTATGCCTGTAATCTCAGCACTTTGAGAGGCCAAGGTGGGAGGATCACTTGACCCCAGAGTTCGAGACCAGCGTGGACGACATAGAAAGACCCTGTCTCTGCCAAAAAATACCAATAAAATTAGCCAAGTGTGGCAGTGTGCCCCTGTGGTCCCAGCTACTTGGGAAGCTGAAGTGGGAGGATGCATTTGAGCCCAAGAAGCAGAGCCTGCAGCGAGCTGTGATTGCTCCACTGCACTCCAGCCTGGGCAACAGAATGAGAAGCCTCTGTCTCCACATAGTCCGCCAAAAAAGCAGATGCACTTTTTAACAAAGAATTTACTGTGAAGTTTTTTTTTAACTATACAAATTATAATTTTTTCATATTTTTAATTGATACATTATAATTGTACATGTTTATGGGGTACAGTTTGACATTTCAATTCACATATGTTGTATAAAGATCAAATCAGGGTAGCTAGCATATCTATTACCACATGCATTTATTATTTCTTTGTGGTGAGAACATTCAAAAGCCTCTCTTCCAGCTATTTCATAATATGTGATACCTTACTGTTAACTAGTCACCCTGCTGTGCAACAGAACACCAGAACTCCTGTATAATTGTAATTTTGTGCCTGTTGACCAAACTTTCCTCATCCTCCTCCCCTGCCCTCTTCTCCCCTCTTTCCAGTTTCTGGTAACCACTCTGCTTCTATGATCTCAATTTTTTTTTTTCTTACAAGATTCCACATATGAGTGAGATCATGGCAGTATTTGTCTTTCTGTGTCTGGCTTATTTCACTTAACATGATGCCCTCCAGTTTCAACCATGTTGTCACACATGACAAGGTTTTATTCTTCAATTTTTTTTTTTTTTTAAGACAGGGTCTTGCTCTGTCACCCAGGCTGGTGTGCAGTGGTACAAACACGGCTCACTGCAGCTTCGACCCTGGGGTCAAGAGATCCTTCCGCCTCAGCCTCCCAAGTAGCTGGTGTGGGAGCCACACCCAGCTAATTTTTTTTTTTTTAATTGGAGCCATGGGGGTTGGGAGGGGTCTCACTTTGTTGCCCAGGCTGGTCTCGAACTCCTGGGCTCAATCAATCCTCCCACCTTGGCCTTCCGAAAGGCAGGGATTACAGATGTGAGCCACTGTGCCCAGCCTCAAATTATTTTTAAACCATCACATTATTTCAGTCTCTCCTAGGAAGAATGCAGCAAAAAGATTCTTTTTCTGGTATTCTCAACATCTGAGAGATTGTCTTCCCTTAGCAAATGTAACTCTAACAAATTCTTATTAAATATAAGGTCTATGAAATCTACCTATAAAATGAGCACCTGGCACTTCTGTGGTAAGTCAGCTTGTCGCTTTCAAGACAGGACCTTGACATTCATGAGGTAACTGCAAATTTCCAAGTTTGTGATAACTCATAGTGTATCATTTTTCCTCTAAAATGTGGTAAAGTACAGTTAAAAAAATTGTTACCGTTTGGGCCTTTGGTATGAATTATTCTATAATTAGAAGTAAGTAAAGTATTCTCCCACTAAAATAAATGTTACACTGCAATATGTTTAATTACAAATAGAAATGTTAACTGGAACTTGTCTGAATCTTCAAACTCAACATGTCAGATGATCACGGGTTGTGTGGTTGAGATCATGAAGTGTGTACTAAGCCACAAAAAAAGTGACACTTCAACAATAACCTTGAAAACAAGGCACGTGATAGAAGAGATAAGGGAGATCATTGTGAAACAGTATTCTGAGAGGGAACCTTTGTGAAGTGATCGCTTCTTTCTAAAGAACTCTGAGTGGTAGCTGTAGTTGGCTTTTATTCCATGGTATGAAATCAGTGCAGATTTTAACATTTAAAGCTCTATCCATTGATCATAAGCAGTTATGGTGTCAATTAGCTGTTTCTCCATTAGAACGTTGACTAAATGTATGAAAACTCAAAAAAGTTCTTCTAATTCTTCAGTGTCATCCCCTTTGCCATTCTTTGCCAACTCATCTGTGAGTCTTATTGTTTTTTCAGTTCTTCCATATTACTTTTATGTGTGCCCTCCAAACCTTTGCCAACCTCTTGCCTCTCCAGTATTAACAGTGTATTCTTCATTGCCTGTGAAAATAATCTTAAAGTTATACACTGCCTTCTTCCTTACAGTATGCCAGTAAGCATCCACTTTTGTAGATCACCTGATTTGTAGTAAAAGATTCTCTATGGAATCCTTACATAATCAAGGATGTACCTCTTCTAAAGCTGCCTGTTAATAAGTTTGCTATCTTTGTCCATGGCATTTTTTGATGACAATGAAAGTGTGGCAAAGTCATATGCTTTGAGCTTGTCTCTTACAGTCTGGTCGAAAAGTCAGAAGTATTCAGAGGAAGGAACATCACTTAAGGATTTAGAATTGTAAACTATAGTAATTAAAGATAGCCTTCCACATTTTCCACAGTAGGGAGAACTTGAAATTCAAGCTTAGACATTTCTGGCACAAAGTGTTTTGTTTTTTTGTTTGTTTGTTTCTCGGCCCTTCTAAGAGACAAAACATGAAATGTTTTTGAAACCAGTCCAAAACACCTTGCCCTGTGTCTGAGGGTGTTTTTTTCCACTGGACTACCAATATTTGGAAAGACATTCCTTTCATGTCTTGGGGTTTTCAGATTGGTATGGAAAACTTGTTTTTTCATAAAGACTGCAGATTCTATGACGTGAAATAGTCAAGTCTGATCTTAAACTCCCTCATAGAGCTCTGTGAGGATATCTAGGTATTTGCAGGTTTCACCACTGAATTCCCAACATTTACCATACTTGGTACATAATAGATAGGTGCTTACTTTTCCCCTTTCATTATTTTTTCCCAAATCACATTTTGGTCATGAATCCCATGTTTCCTGAATCATCCTCACTGCCTTTTCAGAGAAGTATGTATTTTTCTCTCTATTGATGAACATGTTTGATAAAAGCTGGGATACTTGTTAAAACGTTCCCACACACGGCTGGATACATTATGGAACTATTCATGTCATATATCTGTGCCAACCATAAGAAAAATATGCCTTCCAAATTCCTTTAGTTCTCTTCAGTTTCCATAAAATGTTATTTTTATCATGTGTAAGAGTACTGTTAGGGAATCTCGTAGCCATGGTGGGATGCAGGTACTGGGTGGACCACTAGGTTCACTAGCCAGCTAAGTGAATTGCTCTTCCAGTGTGTGCTGTTCAGATTTGTTCCTAAGCAAAATTGCAGATAAACTCCTGTGTTACATTGACTTTCATGCCTTCATAGTAGAAAGCCCACAGATATTAAAGACTTGAATTCAGGTACTAGTAACAATTATAGATTGATTGTTCAGAATACCTTGGTTTCCTTCTTAAGCATAAAGTACAGAAAAATCAACACTGACAAGTTAATCCTAAAAATCACATGGAAATAATTGCAAGGGACCCAGAATAGCAAAACAATCTTGAAAAAGAACAAAGTTGAAGGACTTACACTTCCCAGTCTCAAAACCTACTACAAAATTACAGTAATTAAGACAGTGCAGTAGTGGCATAAGGATAGCCATATAGATCAATGGAATATGATTGAGAATCCAGAAATAAACCCCCATATTTACAGTTAATTGGTTTTTGACAAGGACACCAAGATCATTCAATGGGGGAAAAGTAGTCTCTTTCAACAACTGGTGCTGGAAAACAATATCCACATGAGGCCAGGCATGGTGGCTCATGCCTGTAAACCCAGCAATTTGGGACGCCGAGGTGGGTGGATCACTTGAGGTCAGGAGTTTGAGACCAGCCTGACCAACATGATGAAACCTCATCTCTACTAAAACTACAAAATTAGCTGGGCATGACAACGCACCCCTGTAATCCCAGCTACTTGGAAGGCTAAGGCAGGAGAATCGCTTGGATGCCTGAGGCGAAGGTTGCAGTGACCCGAGATCGCACCATTGCATTCCAACCTGGGCAGTAAGAGCGAAACTTCATCTCAAACAAACAAAATATCCACATAAAAAATAAAATAAAATAAAATTGGACCCTCTACCTCATATCATATAAAAAATTAACTCAAAATGGATCATGGACCTAAATATAAGAGCTGAAACTATAGAACATAGGCATAAATCATGACCTTGAATTTGGCAGTAGTTTCTTAGATATGATACCAAAAGAACAAGCTCCATTACAATTAAACACTTCTGTGCTTCAAAGACACCATTAAGAAAGTACTTGGGTAGGACAGGTGTGGTGACTTACGCCTGAAATCCCAGCACCTGTGTTCATAGTAGCATTATTCACAATAGCTAAAAGGTGGAAGCAATCCAAATGTTCATTGACAGGTGAATGGATAAACAAAATGTAGTAGATACATGCAATGGAATATTATTCAGCCTTTACAAAGGAAGGAAAATCTGACACACAACCTTGTGGGACATTATGCTAAGTGAAATAAGCCAGTCACAAAAAAACACTACGTAATTCCACTTATGTGAGGTAATCAGAGTAGTCAAATTCATAGAGACAGAAAGTAGAATGGGGGTTGGGAGGAATGGGGGAGTATTGTTTAATGGTTACAGAGTTTCAGTTTTGCAAGTTGAAAAAGTTCTGGAGATTGGTTGCACAGTGATGCAAACACACTTAATGCCACACTAAACTGTACACTTAAAAATGGTTGAGATGGTAAGTGTTATGTATATTTCACAATTTTAAAGTGGGGGAAGGTGACTTTTATGCTATGTGAATTATATCTCAAGTTTTTAAAAGTTATATGAGAAAAGAAGAAAAAAGAAAACAAAACCTATCTAGGAAGCCCAGAAGATTTGACAGTCTATTATAGGCCTGCTCCTAATCAAAGGCCTTTTTTTAATGTGTAGTGATTTTATATTCCACTTTCCTCAATTCATGAATAAGTCCCTTCTAACTCTCCTCTTCCCTTTATTATTTCGCAAAATAGATTGGAAATAATCTCCTGATCCTCCTCAGTACTTATGTTAACATCTGGGACCCTACCAAAGGTTCACATCTATTTCTTAAGATTTTGATATTATCATAATAAGTAAATATTTATTATGTAAACCAATGTGCTAGACCCTGGGTGTCAAAAATACATAAGCTCCTCTCATGGCACTTACAATCTGACTAGAGAGACAAGGCAAATGTATAAAAAGTTTGATCACAGTACAAGAGAGCATGTACTGATCCACTTGAGGAGCATAGAAGTTGACAGAAATGAGAGATTACAGTAGGCTAAAGGTGTTTGGAAAAAGTCTTATAAAAAAAGTGGGATATAAACGAACAACAACAACAACAAATCCTACATATCAACAGTGGCAAGTTGGTTTCCTTCTTGCTGTAAGATTCCATGTAAAATGTAGTATTTTATATAGCAGTTGCTATTTGATTAACCTGCAAAAATTATTTTTTTCTCATATTCATTTCCCTTGTTAGTATCCCAGTTTGTTAGGTTAGACAGAAAAAAAAAATTGCTTGATTGTCTATTCCTCCACATATAGATCAGTATGTTAAGGGGGCGAAGTAACTTTACATCATAATTTGGCCACTGGGCCATGCAACAGCCTGTCTAGCTTTACCCTGCTAAGCCTAGAAGTGGCAACAAAGAGATAAGAAAGCCACCATCAAGTGTCTGTGGCCTAGTATGAATTTGACCTGCACCTTGACAATGATTTTGATTTCAGCTTTCCATGGTGAATGGATTTACTACCTATCAGAGTCACAAAAACCCTTAATTTTTAAAATATTTTGGGGTTTTTCTTCTACATGTTAAATGTTAACTTCCTGTGACAGGCGGTGATGATTTCTGAATTTTCAGTGGGCACAACTCATTATTGAAGCACTGAAGTAGTTGGTTACTATTGCAGCTAATTCTTATTTAAATGAGCAAGAGTTCTTTGGAAAGATTAGGCAGCATGGTTTTAAAAATTCACAGCAACACTGATGTATATCAGTTTTGGCTTGGCAGGCTTTGACCCAGGGCCGTGCAGTGTTTTATAACCCTCAGCTACATAAGGACACATACTTATAGCATCACTTTTGTAGTGGATATTTTTATAACTCTACAAAACGATTAGACTGACGTAAAGCAATTCTCTAAATTCATAGGTATTAAAATATTCTGGCAGCTGTCTCCTTTTTGCCTTTAAGTTGAGACATCATGATGAGATAAGACTGCACCAGGCCTGATCGGTACATGAATGAGGTTATGCGTGGTATTCTCACATTATTGACAAGGGTCTTTGTCACTATAAATAGGAGAAATCTTTGGGGAGGGGTTGCCATTATAGTAATTCCGATTCAATTCCAGCAATATTCTTGTTTTTCATAAACTTTTTTCCTTCAAAACACATTCCATGCAATCAGATAAGAAAGAATGATATAAAAATGCCTTTGAATTCTAACTAAAATAATTTAGCTTATAGTTGAAATATATAATATCTTTATCTGGGAGTCTGAGGTATTGATTAGGGTTAGAGAATGTTTAGGAGAACCTGGATGAAAGAAACTTACTGGTAAATTGGCTGTAGGCTACAGTGACATGGGATACAGACTCTTCTGTTTGCAAAATAGTCTTCTACCAACTCGTGGATTCCAGGTCATAGTCCTCAAGGGGGACCAAGAGTCTGGAAAGGTCTTGTGTTACCATCTTAGCAGCTCTCTAACCTCTCTTTCCCTAAGTGCTTCTTACTGCTTCTAAGTGTCTCAAATTCTTTTAACTGAGAACAATTTATAGTTAAAAGATTGTCCCCCTGCTGAGAAATAGGAGGCTTTAAATGGCAAGTGATTATCAGTACAACCATTTTGGAAAACTTAGGCGGTATCTACTAAAACTGATCATACCTCTACCCTATGCCTCAGTAATTTTTATGCTATGTACCCTAGAAATAGGTATGCATGCATTTGTGTGCCGAAAGATAAAGATACATACAAAAATGTTTGGAGCAGCAGTATTTATAATTGACCCAAACTAGAAACAACCTCAAATCAATTGGCAGTAGAATGAATAAATAATGCAAAAATTTATTATTGATAAAGAACATAGTAGAATACTGTATAGCCATGAAAATGAACCAGCTCTTGCTACATGCAACAACATGAATGAATCTCAAGAATATATATAACATTGAATGATGAAGCTAGACACAAAAGAGTTTATATTGTACAGTTTCATTTCTATAAAGTTCAGAAACATGCAGAGCTAATCCATGGTGATACAAATCCAAATAATGGTTGCATTGGGGCTATGATGATGGCTGGGAGGGGGCCTGAGGAAGAGGCTTCTGCAGTGGTGGTAATGATTCTCTATGTACCTATATGTGGTTGTTACACAGTATATTTATGATTTGTACATTTTTCTGTTCATATGTTATACTTTTTTAAATTAACTAAAAAAAATTTAAAGACAAATAGTGACTGAGATAAAAATGAAAATGAATACACTCTAAGGGCTAATAGCCAGTCTGACCTTAAATTGAAGTGGTAGCACTTAAAGCCTTTCTGGTTTGATATGGGAAGCTCATGAAAAAAGGATATTGAGCATCAGTAGTTTTCCAGCCAGTTAGGAAAAGATGTTGAAGATGAAGGAAACCAACCCTCCCGCCCCCCTGCTCCAAGCTCCAGATTTCAAAATATTTCTTGAGCAGGCCTTATATAATGGGATACGAGTAGCTGGAATTGTTTTCGAAGATATTTTTGTCATGGGCAGCTATGAATGTACACAACCTTTTCTGCCTTAGAGGTTTGTTTTTTAATATAAACCTCCTTAAAATACAATTTTTATACCCAGAGAGTCATTAATTGAGGTCACCGGCATAGAGAAAGGGTGGTGATGAATGTGATTCAGTAGATGGCAGTATTCCCTTTGAAGTTTTTAGTTAAAATGTGGGTGTACTGGGGTAGCAACTTTTTTCGGTGGGAATGAAGAAAAGTCACATACTGGGATAATTAGACCAGAAAGAACATTTTATTATTTTTTTCCATATGTGGTATTACTATTGTGAATGAAGCAATAATAACCACAACATACAGAGTAAGAGGAAGTTTGTTTAATGTAGTATTCCTTTAAGTGGGAATTATTGGATAGAACCCTTGGAAAGGATTTGGCCAGTGTCTTTTTTTCCTGTCATATATTTAGGAAGATTGAGATAATGACTAACTGCTTTATACAAAGATGTCAGTGAAATTTATTAATGAGGTGATTAGGATGCAGTTGAGCAGAAATTAAAAGAAAAAAGTGATTGACCAGTCTGTTTTTGCTGGTTATTTTAATATAAATCAAATGCTATTTGAATAGATTCTCTTTTTTAATGTTGAAATTGTCTTATAATAGTAGTGCTTGGTGGGCTTTAAGACTCTTTGCCATATGGGGGTTTTAATTTTAAGGAATTTGACATCGATTATAGTAACATGCCATAGAAGTCAAGAGTTATCAGCCAGTTAAAAGGACGAAACATGGCTATCGTGCAGAACAAGAGATCAATTAACAAACTAATCAGTTGGAGTCAGAAGAACTACATGCAAGTCCTGACTTTGCTCCTTATTAGGTAGTGACCTTGGGCAAATCACTTAACCTGCCATTTTTTTTTTCTCATCTATGAAAACTATAGGTGATAAGTAACTGCTGTGCCTTCCCCACAGGTTGTTAAGTTCATCAAATGGATGCATTGTCTTAAATTAAGTGTGCTGTTGTTAGGCAGGGCGAGGTGGCTCACGCCTGTAATCCTACCACTTTGGGAGGCTGAGGTGGGCGAATCACTTGAGGCTGAGGTCAGGACTTCGGGACCAGCCTGTCCAACATGGTGAAACCCCATCTCTATTAAAAATACAAAAATTAGCCTGACATGATGGTGCATGCCTGTAATCCCAGCTACTCGGGAGGCTGAGGCACGAGAACCACTTGAACCCAGGAGGCGGAGGCTGCAGTGAGCCAAGATTGCACCATTGCACTCCAGCCTGGGTGACAGAGCAAACCTCCATCTCAAAAAAAAAAAAAAAGAATGCTGTGTTAATGGTGATGGACTCTACAGATGGGCTCTACATTGTTTTTATACTGTTCAATTAACTTTTGTTTCCTCCTGTTCTGCCTATAGTCATCAGGTGCTTGCTAAGAAACATTGATAATCATTGCTTCAATAGCCATCATTATGAGTACCTACTAATAGGTACTTCATTCACTAAGTGCTTTAGGTACATAGTCTCTAAAGCCTCACAACAGCCCTGTAAGTTGGAACATTGTCGCCATTTTACAGTTGGCAAAGGTCTGGACTAGCCCAAGAGCTGTGAATCAATCCAAGCCATCTGACTCCATAGCCTTTGCTTTTAGTTTATTATGCTATGCCTGCCATTATGCACTTGAGTTTTGACTTTTCTGTATCTAGTATTTTAGAAGCCAGGGCCAGCTGGGCGCAGTGGCTTACGCCTGTAATCCCAGCACTTTGCAAGGCCAAGGCAGGCAGATCACAAGGTCAGGAGTTCGAGACCAGCCTGGCCAACACAATGAAACCCCATCTCTACTAAAAATACAAAAATTAGCTGGGCGTGGTGGCACATGCCTGTAATCCCAGCTACTCAGGTGGCTGAGGCAGGAGAATTGCTTGAACCTGGGAGGCAGAGGTTGCAGTGAGCTGAGATCGCACCACTGCCCTCCAGCTGGGGCAACAAAGCAAGACTCTGTCTCAAAAAAAAAAAAAAAAAAAAAAAGCCAGGACCATAGATAGTATTTTTATGTATCAGATACTTAAATGAAAGACACTGAGCCTTAGTGGAAAAATTTATTATTATATTTCCCTTTGGAGTTAACAGAATCCTAGTGCGTGCAATTACTAATTTGGGAGTGGGAGGAGTTGTGCTCCTGACCTGAGCCTACATTTTATCATTACCAGAGCACATGCAGATTGTTTCTTGAAGATTCAGACAAGGAGAGGAACACAGTAAAGGATGTAAAGAATGTTAATGTCTGGTTTGAGGATATGTTATAATTTTATTTGCAGATACCCCTCCCAACTATATTTTAATGTTAGAACTAGTTTTTTCTTTGTGTGTGTATGCTTTATGGCGGTTTCCCATTCATTGTAATAGTCATTGATATTTTGCATGGGGTTATCTTCTAGAGAATACATTTAAAACTGGTAACTAAATATGCTGATAACTAAATACATTTTTGCTATTCATATTAGGTTAAAAATAAATAAGTATATATGAACATTTTCATTTATAAACATGTTGTCTTTTAATATTCCAAAAATATTGTTTTTAATGGAAAATGATTTTTTTTTTTTTTGAGACAGAATTTCTCTCTGTTGCCCAGGCTGGAGTACAGTGGCGCAATCTTGGCTCACTGCAACCTACACCCCTCAGGTTCAAGTGATTCTCCTGCCTCAGCCTCCCGATAGCTGGGATTATAGGTGCCCACCACCATGCCCGGCTAATTTTTGTATTTTTAGTAGAGACGGAGTTTCACCATGTTGGTCAGGCTGGTTTCGAACTGCTGACTTCAGGTGATCCACCCGCCTCTGCCTCCCAAAGTGCTGGGATTACAGGCGTGAGCCACCATGCCTGGCGGAAAATGATTTTTTTAAACTCTATCTTCTATTGTAAAAACATAAAAATTATTTGTGTTTTGGCCAGCTTCTGATTTAGTTTGTAAATTGTCACTAGTTGTTTTTCAATAAGTTGTAAATTTTAGAATATTTTTAAATTTACAGGAAAATTAAGAAGGAGCGTTCCCATATAACCCACATGGAATTTCCCCTGTTGTCGTTAGTGTGGTACATTTATTACAGTTAATGAACCAATAAAGTCCATACTTTATTCACATTTCCTTAGCTTTTCCTTAATGTTTTTTTTTTTCTGTTCCAGGTCCCATCTAGGATACTGTATTACATTTAGTTGTCATGTCTCCTTAGGCTTATGTTGGCATGACAGTTTCTCAGACTTTCCTTGTTTTTTGATAGCCATGACAGTTTTAAAGAGTACAGTCAGGCACATTGTAGAATGTCCCTCAGTTGGGATTTGTCTGATGTATTTTTCATAATTATGGTTTGCCTTTCACTACATAAACCAGGCTATATGTGGAGGTTGTTCTTAATCATAATGAGCTCTATAAGGAAGGCAGATTAGGATTTTAAAATATTGGCTGTGGTTAACCAAAGATAAACATTAACATCATTCTTTGTTGGATCTGAAACACTGGCTACATTTTTTATATTTTATCATTTTTCCGAAGCAGCCAGTCCTAATTCTGGCTAGAAGTAAGAGTCTAGGTTATATGATCTGCTCATATCCCTGAAACAGTTTCTTTTCTAATTGCACCTATTGGGGCAGTTGGGATGGGTTTTAATGTTACTCCTAAGAGCTTTATTTAATCTGTATTGGCCTTTTAATTAGTAATGGGCAATTTTGGGTGAATTGCTAATTGATTAGAGTTGCGGAAATTATCCACAAAGCTGTTTTGTCCCTGCAGCCTAGAAGACGTAAGATTAAAACAGGATCGGGTTTAGTTACTAGTGTAAGATGAATGCTTGAAAAGTATTATTTTAGTGGCTTTGGTTTGTGTTCCGGCCTGGTGTTGGTTTTAACTCTGCTAAGAATTATTGTCTTTTAACTCACTGAGGTCCTCAATTCTACTCCATTAAGGGCCACTTTTCTGCCAATCAAAAAGCAGCATCCCTGAGATTGATTTTTGTTACAGTGGGTAGTAATGGCTGCCTAGTGACAACATTTCAAACTCTTTTATGTAAACAGAAAGCAATCAAATAAGTACTAATCCAAGGATTATGTGGACCCAAATCCTGTGGCCAAAAGAATCTCTGCAGTGTATGTCTCTGGCTCTTTGCCTTCTAGTGCCAAGCAGCCCCTCTTCTTCCTGGAAAGCTTGCTTGTTGCTTGTGCTGCCTGTTAGATTTCAGTGTGCTAAAACCAAAACACTCCTGCAGCTCCTGAATGAAATTCAAAAAGACACTTACATTTCCATAAATAAATTAGGAATTCAGTGGTTTCTTTGGGCTAATCAGGGCAGGCTGATAAACCTTGCTAGCTGTTTAATAAATGAATTGTGACCTATTAATATGGACGCCTCAGGAATTCACCCTGGTGGAAGCAGAGCAGTGAAATAGAGAGGGGCATGGCCCCTTGGGAAATCAGGGCTTCATGTTTGCAGCTTAAATATCTCTGTGAAGTATCAATAAGGAGGTAATTGAATTTTGAACACAAACATGAGCGCCGGATGGATGAAAGGGGGTGGGGGATCTGATCGTCTCTTCTCTGCCCCTTCATTCTCCCCTCCCCTTTTCCTTGGAGACCACTCTAGTAAAGATAGATGCTAAATCCATTAAATAAAGATTAGACTCCGTCGTAGTAGAAAATGGCAGCTTAGCTAGATCCCCAGGCAAATTGGAGCCTTTTGCAATACAGAAAATTAAAATATACATTTTTAACAAGTGTGCTATCTTCCTAGCAATAATGCTAGGCTAGCTTGTGGGGTTTACTCCTCCTTCAGATTGGCTTTTGTTTGGGCAGATCACTTTCTCTTGTATTAATGCCAATCTTTTCTGTATTCCTGGAACAGAAGGGACTGGGTTTATTTATTTATTTTTAAAGCTTCTGTTGAGGCCTTTCCTCTAGCATCCTGCTTGCTTGTAATCAGAAGAGTGGGAAGGAGATTAGTGTCCCATGAATTGACGGTAGATAAATGTTCCCTCCCCTTCACTGGTGGGTCCAGAAGAGCCCAATCACTTGTATTTCAGGGATGACTGGAGACTGTACAGCCAAGCAAGAAAAGGGCTTACAGATTGAAATAAACATTGATGTTTTAGATGCAATTTTACTTGGCTTTATTTCCTGTAGATAAGGTTATTGATTTGCTTTGTCCTCCTATTTTAAGCCAGGTAAAGTCATATTAATGTAAGAAAAAAGAATTGGCATTATTTGGTTACAGATCATAATACTCCTTTTTTAGCAATAGCAGAAAACAAACATCAAGCCTTAAATGCTTTTGTTATGTTGATGCGAATGCCCAGTATTGTTTTTTTTAGACTAACCCTTTTTTACATGTCAATCTACAATTCTAATAACCCTTTCCTATAGTCAGTCTGTCTATCAACAAGTATAAATTGAGCATCTGTTAGGTGTGTAGCATGGTCAATGGTGAGAAAAGTCTATCCTCTACTACCACAGTTACTTCTTTTCTTTGTTTTTTATGGTTTTGTTTTTTGTTTGCTTTCATTGTTTTTAATTGACACATAATAATTGCACATATTTGTGAGTTATAGGGTGATATTTTGATACATGCATACAATGTGTAATGATCAAATCAGGGTAACTAGTATATCCATCACCTCAAACATTTATCATTTCTTTGTGTTGGGAACATTCAAAATCTGCTCCTCTGGCTATTTGAAAATATACAATAAATTGTTGTTAATTACAGTCACCTTACAGTTGTAGAGAACACTAGACCTTAGTTCCCCTACCTAGCTGTAATTTTGTATCCATTGACCAACCTCTCCCATCTTTACCTCTCCCCTCCCCTTCCTAGCCTCCAGTAACCACTATTCTACTCTGTACTTAGGAGATCAACTTTTTTAGCTTTTACATATGAGTGAGAACATGTAGTATTTATCTTTCCGTGCCTGGCTTATTGCATTTAACTTAATGTCCTCTAGTTCCATCCATGTTGCTGGGAATGACCAAATTTCATTCTTTTGTATGGCTAAGTAGTATTTCATTATGTATGTATACCATATTTTCTTTTTCTTTTTTTTTTTTTTGAGACAGAATTTCACTCTTGTCACCTAGGCTGGAGTGCAGTGTTGCCATCTCGGCTCACTGCAACCTCCACCTCCCAGGTTCAAGCAATTCTCCTGCCTCAGCCTCCTGAGTAGCTGG